>NC_000012.12:68975279-69126794 GCF_000001405.40 Homo sapiens | reverse complement strand
ATATCCTGTAGAATGTCCCCCAGTCTAGATTTGTCTGGCAGTTCCCTTTGGGTCAACCAGGGCCACCTCATAGGGTTTTAATAAGGATTTAATGAGAAAATCTATAAAGCACTCAGGGCCCTATTGGACAGGTATTTTCATTATCAATGCACATTTTTAACACAGAGGAGCAAAGCTGAGTTATGACTGAGAGCAGTGCTTCTGCAGCCAGTGGCCTAGGTCCTAGTCTTGTGGTTACTGTTTTCTAGCTATGTGACCCTGGACACACTTTTAACTTCTCAGTTTTTCTCATCTATAATGAAAGGTATTATAATAATAGCACTTTTCCTCATAAGGTTGTTGAGAGGATTAAATTGATGCAAATGCTTATTCCATTCTTGGCACCTAGCAAGTTCCCTTTACTTTTTGCTATTAGTATATTAATACAAATAGTGTGAAACCACGTCTCCCTCATTCACCTTTGGAGTAATTCAGAATCTCCTTGGAGCCATTTATCTGCAATGGCAACGCCTGTGTGAGGCACTGTATGTCTTGAGGTTGCTCAAAGTGTCATTGTGAGCACAGTTCCTGGGCAGATCTCCGGAACTCACCAGAAAGAACCTTCAGTAGCATCCCTCATGCAACATCCTGCAAAATTCTGTGCTTCCATGTCAGCCCCACACTGAGGTAGGACCACGTGAAGAAGTGGAGAAGTGGAGACAGCGCCTGGCAAGGCCTTGCAGGGAGGGTCATGGTTCACACAAACAGCAGAAGGATGAAGAAGGACAGCAACAGCAGGGGAGGAGCTGAGCTCCTGCTGAAGGACCAGAGCTTGGGCTCTCTGGGCTTACTTCACTGTCTTCTGATCACTATTCGTGTCAGATTTCGCGTGGAGACCCCTTTTTCAGCCCACACAGAATATGATTCACAGTTAACCCACCGTGCAGTCTAACTTCAATCCTGGCACAACCTTCTAAAATTATGCAATTAAAGACTCCACTAGAATGAAGTGTCTGAGAATGCTATTTAACCAAGTGGATCAAAAGGGACATTTTAAAAAGCGGAGAGAAAGGGTGAAACAATAAACCTGGGAAGAAAAAGAAAATCGAAACCAACAACCTCCATCTTCCCGCTTCCTGCTGTCTCATTTCTAGGTGGCTTTTTGTCTAGTCTTATTTGTCTTATTTATATGCTAATCTCCCCGGGGAAGAAGGGTGTCACCTCGATTTCAGGGCTGCTCCTACACTGGGAGCAATTCTTTGGAGGTGAAACATAGCGATAACAATCTCATTGTACTTGGCTATACCTTAAGGGTCTTCTTCGCCTCCTGATACTTTACCCATTCATGAAACACTGTTTTGAACATTGTTTTGTGTTATTAATTTGAAGATTTTAATTTTTTCAGCTATCTCATTAGGTGGCAGGTATTATTTATTTAAACAATCCTGAGTGCCTACCACGGGCCAGGCACAGTTCTAGAAACTTGGGTACCTCAGGGAACAAAACAGATGAAGATGCGTGTTCTTATGTGCCTACGTCTTAGTGGCAGACACAGGCAATATGATAAGCATGACAAACAAGTACATTGCACAGCGTGCGGATGGTAGGCGCTGTGGCAAAGAGAACAAGCAGAGGGGAATTGGGAGTGCCGTTTGGAGGGGTGGCTGCTTGATTTTCCCCATTTGCCAATGGGAGGCTACATTAGGGGAAAGCATTCCCTCCCTTTCCCTAATTTCCCCCAGTCTCTGCTCTGAGTTTTGTTTCGCAGTCTCTGACCCTTTTCTATATCCCTTTTAAAATGGGAACAGTATTAAATGCAGTTAAGCACTCTGGCTCTGAAGCCAAAGGGTCTGAGGTTGATTCCTAGATCGGTGGCTTGCTTCTCTGTGTGACCTTGGGCAAGCTGACTTGTCTCTGCTTTGATTTCCTCATCTATAAAATTTGCCTACATAACAGGGTTGTAGAGAGGATGTTTCATGTTACTATGAGGTTCCTAGACCAGGGTCCGGCACAGGGTAAGCACTCAGATGTGGGCTTAAAAGAAGAAAGTGATGTCCCTGTGTTGTGGGGTAGGGAGGGTCATGAGTAGGAGCATATTTACAACACCCATTTCTATCCCTAAACGCCCCCAAAACTAGTTACATGGGGCTCCCTCATTCAAGGCCTGAGGTCACTTCAAAAATGAATAAGAATGGCACCTCCCATATCCCTTGGTTTATTTCCAAGAACCAATCTTCCTTTTTCCTAGTTTTTTTAAAAAACAAATTCTTGCATTATTGTTTCACTTTAACTTAGGTTTAATCACACCAAAAAAAGGTGGACGGCATTTGCTTTGTTGTGCAGCTACCTGAGACGTGACTTTGACCTATTTTTAGGTCACGATGGTCACGTTCCGCTGTTGTTTGACCTGTGCTTCGTTACCATTAAAACCCACACCCTGTACCCCACTTTCATAAAATAAAACAGGTAGCAAAACTTAAACAAAATATTAAAGAGGGATGAAATAGGCCAAACCATTTTAGGTTGGAGAAAATACTCATGATTTTGCCTATTTCTGGAGATTTCTACAAATCTAGTCTCCTCTAAAGCAGAGAATGCAATGTACTGAAGGCAAAATTCAAAGGCGGAATAAACAAAAACCCTGCCAAACAAACTCAATGTATCTAGGCAACATCCCCAGAGTACCTTATTTCCTGAGTGTTGAGTCTCAAGGACCTCTCCCATAGTAAATTATTAGCTTAGTGCAAGGTCTAAGATCTAGATAAAAGAGAAAGAAAAGGAACGTTATTTTAAGTTGAAAGTCAAACACATTTAGTGCATCTCTGTGATATGGAAATTAAGTCTATCCTTCAACACAGTGACAAGAACAAGGAGTTGGACAAACAAACCATAGAAGCAATGATTGCCTTTGTTGCACTCCAGTTCTCATGCAGGTGCCTCCTTAACCCTGTCTAAAGTGCAGGAGGGTCTCCTTTGTCAAGGGAGGATCAAGGAGCTCTACATTTTCAGACCAGCTTGGGTAGCTTCCGGTCAGTCTTGCTTAAGGCTTTGCACTGATCTTGTACCCCACTGACCAACAACTGGATCCCTACTTTGATTTCTAACTTGGGACTCCAGTTCCCCTGGTACTGACTTAGATGGCTCACTCTCTAACCCTGCTGGGTGTTCCTGTCTGGTGTCTTCATAGAGAGTCTTGAGGGAGGCCTTTCGGGTGCAGCCTGCCTGGGTCTAAACTTGTGCCACTCTCCCTGACTCTCCAGCACTGCTCTGTCCACCTGTCTGGATGTCCTCCTACCTGGACCTCTCCAGCCCACAGTCTGCCATCTTGGACCACCACTGGTCACACAAATCCCCAGATAACACACTCCATCTGTGTCTCAGCCTTGCCCGCTCTGGCTGATCCCACTGTTCACCAAGTTTCCATCCTGAGCTGAGAACTGGAGGCAGCTATAGAAGGGAGGAAGAAATTGGGCTATATGTGTTAGACGTTCCATTCTGATCTACAATTTCAGTGCTTCTTCCTCATGAGGCACTGTCCTGAGGATTAAATGAGTAAATGCATCTAGATGATACCTTAGCTGAAATCTGAAGTATGAGACTGACTTACCCCGACATGGTGGAGGGGTGGAAGTATTCCAGGCAGAGGGATCAGCCAAGTAAAACCCAGACATCAGTGTCCACGCTGTCCAAAGGCCCCTGGATGGCTCTGCTGGACCAAGGAAACTATCTATTGCTGTGGACACCATGTCCTGGACCTCACTGTCTTCTCAGAAGGGTCCCAGCGCAGCAGGCTGCTCAGCCATGTTTCACTTCACTCCTTTCCCAGCAAAACCTAGACATTCTTGATTAGACTGTGTAAGGTGCTAATTAAAATCACTTAAGTGAACCACTTCCCATTTACTCTTAATTTTCAAGCACCACCATAATGATGCACCATTGAATATGTGTCAGATCAGGTTGGCACTAAATTTTAATATACTGTGACATTGAGCTCCATTTATGTACCTTCTCCTCAGTGAGCTGTTCACATAACAATACGGTATTTTGCAACACTGTGAGCATTGATTAAACACCGTGAGTTCTGTATTTTGCTACTTCATTATCTTGTCTGTCTACTTACAAATTTTAGGCACTTTTTTATGTAATTGAAGATCCCATAAAATGTGGACTGATACTTCTATAATCCACATGTCTAATCTATATGCTTATCTGTCTTTTTCTTCAGGAGCACTTTAATTGATTTGTACTATATATCATATTGTTTTTTCATATGCACATATTTTAGAATTTAGCAAAGGGCGGAGGAATGTCCAGCAGGAGAAAGTTGAAAGTATTTTATTTTTTTGAGACAGAATCTTGCTCTGTCACCCAGGTTGGAGTACAGTGGCGTAATCATGGCTCACTGCAGCCTTGATTTCGTGGGCTCAGGTGATTCTCCTACCTCAGTCTCCTGAGTATCTGGGACTACAGGTGTCTGCCACCATGCCCAGCTAATTTTTTGTATTTTTTTGTAGAGATGGGGTTTCACCATGTTACTTAGGCTGGTCTTAAACTTCTGGGCTCAAGCAATCCACCTGCCTGGGCCTCACAAAATACTGTGATTACAGTTGTGAGCCACTGTGCCTGGCTGAAAGTATTTGATTGTTTTCTTTTCTGTCTTTTCTTTTTTTTGAGATGGAGTTTCGCTGTTTTTGTCCAGGCTAGAGTGCAATGGTGCAATCTCAGCTCACTGCAACCTCTGCCTTCCTGGTTCAAGTGATTCTCCTGCCTCAGCCTCCCGAGTAGCTGGGATTACAGGCACAAGCCACCACACCTGGCTAATTTTGTATTTTTAGTAGAGATGGGGTTTCACCATGTTGGCCAGGCTGGTCTTGAACTCCCAACCTCAGGTGATCTACCCACCTTGGCCTCCCAAAGTGCTGGGATTACAGGTGTGAGCCACCGCACCCGGCCTATTTGATTATTTTCTAACCAATTTAGCTCACAAATCTAGTAGCCCTTTCACCATTCTCTCTAAGGATTAATAAACAAAAGGTTGCTTTACATTTCCAAACTTGTTTCATTGCCTTTCCTCTCCATGCTCTAGCCCCTAGTGTATATTTGTGCTACTGCTGATAAAAGCTCATTTCTGAGTTAATTCACACAGGGGTCCAACGGTTTTTATTGTTGACAATATACAGGATGGAACCCTTTGATCAGCCATCTTTTAGGCTAAATTAATTTTATTAACCTTGGAATATGTGGAATTGGTATTCTTTTAAGAATGTGATTGGAAGCCAGGCATCATGGCTGAAGCCTGTAATCCCAGCACTTTGGGAGGCTGAGTGGGGTGGATCGCTTGAGCCCAGGAGTTTGAGACCAGCCTGGACAACATGGTGAAACTCTGTCTCTACTAAAAATACAGAAAATTAGGTAGGCATGGTGCTGCATGCCTGCAGCCCCAGCTACTCGGGAGGATCACCTGAGCCTGGGAGATTGAGGCTATAGTGAGCCGTTATCATTCTACTGCACTCCAGCCTGGGAAACAGAGTGAGACCCTGTCTCTCTTTTTTTTTTTTCTTTTAGACAGAGTTTCACTCTTGTTGCCCAGGCTGGAGTGCAACGGCGTGATCTTGGCTCATTGCAACCTTGGCTCCTGGGTTCAAGTGAGTCTCCTGCCTCAGCCTCCCAAGTAGCTGGGATTATAGGCATGTGCCATCACGCCCGGCTAATTTTGTATTTTTAGTAGAGAGGGGGTTTCTCCACGTTAATCAGGCTGGTCTTGTACTCCTGACCTCAGGTGATCCACCCGCCTTGGTCTCCCAAAGTGCTGGGATAACAGGCTTGAGCCACCACGCCCGGCCAGGACCCAGTCTTGACAAAAAAAAAAAAAAAAAAAGAAGAATGTGATTGGATTCGTATAATAAACCATGTTAGCAGGATATAAATAGTTAAAAGACGAACTGTAAATTGGGGAAAATAATTATATGTTGCACTGACAGTGCAAAGGGTTGTTCTGAGGATTTATTTATCCAATCAGTCTTCATGCATTCACAAATGCAACAAAAATTCATGGAGCACTCTTACATGTTGAATTGTGTACCACCAAAATTCATATGTTGAAGTCCTAACCCCTAATATCTCAGAATAGCATCTTATTTTGGGATAGCATCTTTACAGAAGTAATCAAGTTAAAGTAAAATCATTAGGGCTGGGCCGTAACCCAGTATGACTGGTGTCCTCGTGAAAAGGGGAAATTTGGACAGAGAGATACAATAACAGGAAGACAAATGACAGATGAAAGGAAAAGATGGCCATTTGCAAGCTGAGAGAGGCCTGGAATAGATCCTTCCCTCTAGCCCTCAGAAGGAATCCACCCAGCTGACGCCTTGATTTTGAACATCTAGTCCCCGGAATTGTGAGACAAATTTGTTGTTTAAGCCACTTAGTCTGAGATACTCTGTTACGACAGCCCTAGCTAACTAATACAAGCACCTACTGTGTGCCAGACACTGTCTTAGGTGCTAGAGATGTGGCAATGAACAAAACTGACAGCGTCTGCCTTTTTGGGGCTCACATTCCAGTGTCATAACAATAAACAAGGACATAAATAGATACAATAAATGTCAAGTCATGGTATGTGCTATGAGGCAATATAAAAATATAAAGCTACTTAAGGAGACAGTGATGGAGTGTGTTTGTTAGACTGCGGGGAGGCAGTCTAGGAAAATTTCTCTAAGGAAGTGATATCTGTGCAGAGATCTGAATGATGTGAGGAAGCAAATTATGTGGCTATCTGGGAAAAGAGATTTCTGGCAAGGAAGACAGCAAGTGCAAAGGCCCTGAGGCAGGCATGCGTTTGGCACGTTCAAGGAGGAGCGGGAACGTTACTGTGTCTGGAGCACAGCAAGAGAAGGGAAGGAGTGGTGGACAATGAGGTCAGACAGGAAGGCCAGAGACAGATGCTATAGGGCCAGGCCCAGCACGGGCTTTTGGTTCTTATTCTCAGTGTGATGGAATTCATGCTAAGAAATGGGTGGTGAAAAAGAGAAGAAAAAAACCTGAAGTATGGTGGGAACAGTCAAGGGTTGTTGAGTAGGGGGATGATCTGATCTGATTCCTTTTTAAAGGCTCAGTCTGGCGGCTGTGTGAAGAATTGATGTTAATGAGGCAAAAACGGAAGAAGGCAGACAAGTTATATAGCAAGAGGCTCTTGCAATAATTCAAGGGAGAGGACCTTTGAATTATTGGTGACAAGAGCCAGGTTGGCAATGGGGGGGATGATGAGAAGTGGTAAATCCTGGATCTATTTTATAGTTTGATCTACCTGATTTGCTGATAGATTGGATATGAGATATAAGAGAAAAGAGTCAAGGAGAACCTCAAGGTTTTTGGCTTGAAAAACTATGTGAATCATGTTATTTATTGAGATGGATAATGCTAAAGGAGGAACAACTTTGGGAAAGAAAATTAAGAGCTCTGTCCTGAACATGTTGACTTTGATGTGTCTATTGAACAGCGGAGAGGAGTTTAGGAGAGAGATCTGACCTAGAGATGTAGATTGATGAGTCTTTAGGATATAAATGGTATTTAAAGCCAAGGACCTGGCACCCAGAGAGTGACTGCAGAGAAAAAAGAGGTTTGAAGCCGGAGCCCTGAAGCTCCCCATGTACAGGAATAAAAAAGGGGCGATTCAGAAAAGGAGCTTGAGAGCGAGTGGCCACTGAGAGGGGAGGAGCAAGTTGTCCCAAAAGTCAGGAGTAACAGCATTTCAAGAAGGAGGCAGCGATAAATTCTGTCAGTGGCTGCTCATGGATTAAGTATAATGAGAACTGAGAACTACCCTTTTGTTTGGCACTGGGAAACAATTGGTGACCTCAGGTATGGATTTGGCAAAATGGGGAGTTGACTGCCTCACTGGTGTGGGTTCCAGAGAGAATGGATGGTGAGGAAGGGGAGCTAGCAAGTCTTCAAGTCTTTCAAGGAACTTTTCTAAATGAGGCAGCAGCCAAGAGAAGTGGGCTCTAGGGAGAGTTTTTTTTTTAATGTGTCTGTTTTTTAAGCTGGAAGATATTGTGTTAATGTCATGTGCTTCTGATTTTATGCTGAAGGAAATTATCCAAGAGAAAGAGGAAATGGATGGTGCAGGAGACAGGATTCTTGCAGAGGCTGGTGAGGGGGATGGAATCTGTGCATAAGTGAAGGGTCAGTCCTGGTGTGGTATCCTGGGCTTGCTCATTCGGGATGTTTTTTCCACGATTATAGGAAGAAGGGAGTGCCTATGGGAACAAATGCAGAACAGTGGGGACATGAATGTTTGATATTCTCAGTGAAACAGGATGCAAGGTCATGAGTGGAGGATGAAGAGAGAGGAGGGTGTGCTGAGAGTTTGAGGACAGAGGAGACGGTGTGAAATTGTCCCCTCATGGAGTGGCTGAGTGGATGGACCAGCAATATGTGATGGGTTTGCTGGAGGGGCTGAAGGCTCCCTTGAGGTTTGAGATCCTAACTTTAAAGTGAGCCTAGTGGGCATGGTTGTATGTTTTTCTTCACCTGTGTCTGGCTGTTCAGGTGCAAACCCAAGAGTAGGGAGTGAGTTAGATTTAGCATTTTGGATTGAATTGTGTTCTCCCAAAATTTGTATGTTGAAGCTTTAACCTCCAGTGTGACTGTATTGGGAGGCAGGGCCTTAAAAGATGTAATTAAGGTAAATGACATCGTAAGGGTGGGGCTGTAATCCTATGGGACAGGACCTTATGAGAAGAGGAAGAAACACCAGAGAGCTCTCTCTTCCTGTGAGCATGCAGAAGAAAGGCCCCGTGAGGACACAGTGCAACGGTGGCACTTTGCAAACCAAGGAAAGAGGCCTCACCAGAAACCAAACCTGCTCACACCTTGATCTTAGACTTCCAACCTCCAGCATGGAGAGATAACAAATTTCTGTTGTTTAAGCCTTCCAGTCTGTGATATTTGGTTACAGCAGCCCTAACAAACTAATACAACCAGGAATGAAGTTTTACCAGGAAAATGTCACAGAAGAAGATGAAACAAGGAGTGATCATAAGGGTAGATGAAATGAGAATATGGAAAATGCTAAGCCTGGAACGTGGCAGTTGCTTAACCAATTGCAGCTACTGCCAGCTACCTTCCAAGGGCCTGCTGTGCTTCTGTTCCCACTGTGACAGGTGCTGTGCCAGGAAATCAGCGGTGTAAGCAGCAAGGTGCTTGCCCTCAAGGAGCTCACAGTCCAGTGAAGACAGAACAGAGCCTGTCAATACAACACACTCAGAACTGTCATAAGAAACCACTAGCATTCCGACCAAGAGAAAATGGCACAGAGGAGGTGACGCTGGAGCGGAGCACAGAAGAGGGAACAGAGGGCTCAGAGGAAGGCAGGACTCATTGAGAGAGCAAAGCAAGTATGGAAGCCTTAGCGCAGTGGGTAGGGTGGAGGGTGGTGGTGAGGAGCGAGTGAGGAGCGAGTGAGGAGGCAACTAGCAACCAGAATGTCAAAAGCCTGGGGTTGGTCATGCAGCATGCAGTAAGCAGGAGTGACATCATTAGATATTTTTTAAAAGAGACAAAATTCAGACAGCACTGTAGAAGATAAATCAGAACAAGAAAACCACTTTAAGAAGCATTTGCAATGGTCCAGTGAGGCCTGAACTGAAGATGGCACAGGGAGGCTTCTGAGGGAACAATCTGTGGGAGAGAATTCAAGGTTTTGTGGCCACGAAGAGGGGGATGTATAGAAGAGGCGAGGTGTAACAATGACTCCTAATTTTCTGGCTTGGATGACTGGATATACCATAATGCTACTTATCAGTAGGGATTAATCAGCAAAAAATTGGGTGAAAACTTGCTGCTGTTAGGCCAAGGGTGGTGGCTTATGCGTGTAATTCCAGCACTTTGGGAGGCTGAAAGTGGTGGATCACCTGAGGTCAGGAGTTCAAGACCAGCCTGACCAATATGGTGAAACCCCATCTCTACTAAAAATACAAGAATTAGCCAGGCATGGTGGCGTGCATCTGTAGTCCCAGCTACTCTGGAGGCTGAGACAGGAGAATTGCTTGAACCCAGGAGACAGAAGTTGCAGTGAGCCGAGATCACGCCACTGCACTCCAGCCTGAGCTACAGAGTGAGACTTCATTACAGAAAAAAAAAAAAAAAAGAAAGAAAGAAAAATTATTTTAGGCAGATAGAGAGGAAAAGGGGTCCTTGGGAAGTTTTCGTTTCTTTTAAAGCGGCCAAGATCAAGATGCGGCCAGGCGCGATGGCTCACACCTGTAATCCCAGCACTTTGGGAAGCCGAGGCGGGCGGATCATCTGAGATCAGGAATTCCAGACCAGCCTGACCAACAGGATGAAACCCTCTCTCTACTAAAAATACAAAATTAGCTGGGTGTGGTGGCACATGCCTGTAATCTCAGCTACTTGGGAGGCTGAGGCAGGAGAATCGCTTGAACCCGGGAGGTGGAGGTTGCAGTGAGCCGAGATCACGCCATTGCACTCCAGCCTGGGCAACAAGAGCGAAACTCCGTTTCAAAAAAAAAAGAAAGAAAGAAAAGGCGGCCTAGAGACGTTCTTGTCTAGCAGGAAAGCCCCAGGCCTTAGAGTCAGGCCGGCAACCTTTGATATGCTAATACAAACCATCAGAAACTGGGTCCACCCAATCATAGAGATTTCCTCCCTCTTCTCCTTGCCCTTGCTCCCACATGCTCCTGGCAACATGGCCGCCCCCACTTATCCCCATGTATGTAGAACATCATGACTCTCTGTATTTTCATATTAAAAGGCTAGGGTGGGAGAGCCAGTTTTTTCCGGGGCTGCATAGGTGACATGCCTGGTCAAACCAATCCCCTGAGCCCTATGCAAATCAGACACCACTCCTCCAGCCTCCTCATATAAGCAGCCACTTTTCTCTCTCGGCTTTGGAGCCCCCCTCCCTCTGTCTCTGTACAGGGGAGCTTATTTCTTTTCCCTTTTTCTTGCCTATTAAACTCTCCACTCCTTAAAACCACTCCACATGTGTCCGTGTCGTTTTATTCAGTTTGGCATGAGACAAGAGCCCTGGTGTTCCTTCACTCATCCGAACAGTATCAATTGTACATATTTATGGAGTACAGTGTGATATTTATATATATATATGTATACAATGTGTAATGATCAAATCAGGGTGATTAGCATATTAATTATCTCAAACATTTATCATTTCTTTGTGTTGGGAACATTCAAAATCCACTCTTCCAGCTATTGGAAAAGATACAATATTGTTATTAATGATGGTCCCCCTGTAGGGCTGTAGAACACCAGCACTTACCTCTCCTATCTGGCTCTACGCTTGCATCCATTGACCAACCTTTGCTCTCCTCCCCCCAACTAGCCTTCCCAGCCTGTACTTCCCAGCCTGTAGTAACCACTATTCTTTCTTCTTCTTCTCCTTCTCCTTCTTCTCCTTCTCCTTTCTTCTTCCTCCTTCTCCTTCTCTTCCTCCTCCTCCTTCTTCTCCTTCTCCTTTCTTCCTCCTCCTCCTTCTTCTTTTCTTTTCTTCTTCTTCTTCTCCTTCCTCTTCCTCTTCCTCTTCTCCTTCATCTTCTTCTTCATTCACTATTTTCAATTTTCAATTTTTTTTTTTGAGACAGAGTCTCATTCTGTCACCCAGGCTGGAGTGCAATGGCACGATCTTGGCTCACTGCAACCTCCTCCTTCCGGTTTCAAGCAATTCTCCTGCCTCAGCTTCCCGAGTAGTTGGGATTACAGGCGTGCACTATCAAGCCCAGCTAATTTTCCGTATGTTTAGTAGAGACGGGGTTTCACCTTGTTAGCCAGGATGGTCTTGATCTCCTGACCTCATGACCTGCCCTCCTCAGCCTCCCAAAGTGCTGGGATTACAGGTGTGAGCCACTGCGCCTGGCCTATTTTTAAATTATAATATACATCTGAGAAAATGTACTTTTTTAGCTGTATTAGTCAGGGTTCTCTAGTGGGACAGGACTAATAGGATAGGTGTATATATGAAAGGGAGTTTATTAAGGAGTGTTGACTCACAGTCACAAAGTGAAGTCCCACGATAGGCCGTCTGCAAGCTGAGGAGCAAGGAAGCCAGTCTGAGTCCCAAAATCTCAAAAGAAGGGAAGCCGACAGTGCAGCCTTCAGTCTATGGCCAAAGGCCCAAAAGCCCCAAAAGACAAACCACTGGTGTATGTCCAAGAGTCCAAAAACTGAAGAACTTGGAGTCCAGTGTTTAAGGACAAGAAGCATCCAGCACAGGAGAAAGATGGAGGCTACAAGACAGGCAGTCTTGTTCTTCCCGTTCCTCTGCCTGCTTTTATCCTAGCTGTGCTGGCAGCTGATTAGATGGTGCTCACCCAGATTGAGGGTGGGTCTGCCTCTCCCAGGCCACTGACTCAATTGTTAATCTCCTTTGGCAACACCCTCACAGACACACCCGGAAACAATACTTTGCATCCTTCAATCCAAACAATACTTTGCATCCTTCAACCGAGTTGACACTCAATATTAACCATCACATTACCGTTTTGAGATACATTACATTCTGGATTCGCCATTTAAAGTTTAGAAACACTGGAGTCAGTCCTGACTGGTCTGAGTTGAGGTTCTCCACAGGTAACTTATTCCTTGGATAAAAATACTTCTTTGATCAGTCTTTCCAATCTGGAAAATTTGGCTTATAAAAACTGCTGCTGAGGCCAGGCGCAGTGGCTCACGCCTGTAATCCCAGCACTTTGGGAGGCTGAGGTGGGCAGATCATGAGGTCAAGAGATCGAGACCATCCCGGCCAACATGGTGAAACCCAGTCTCTACTAAAAATACAAAAATTAACTGGGCGTGGTGGTGCACATCTGTAGTCCCAGCTACTCGGGAGGCTGAGGCAGGAGAATCGCTTGAACCTGGGAGGCAGAGGTTGTAGTGAGCCGAGATCATGCCTGTGTACTCCAGCCTGGTGACAGAGTAAGGCTCCGTCTCAAAAAAACAAACAAAAAAACTGGTGCTGAAAGCTGGGCATGGTGCTGCTTGCCTGTAATTCCAGCTACTAGGAGGCTGAGCCCAGGAGTTCGAGTCCAGCTTGGCCAACATAGCGAGGCCTTGTCTCTGTTCCACAAAGTCAGAGCTAGACAGAACAACCACAGTCCTCCCTACTTCACTGGGGTTCACATGGAGAAAACACACTTCTCGCTCCATTAAAGCAAGGCTGAAATATCTACTCTCTACTTCTATGAGGTCAACTATTTTAGTTTCCACATATAGGTGAGAACATGTGGCATTTATCTTTCTGTGCCTGGCCTATTTCACTTAACATAATGTCCTCCAAGCTCATCTATGTAACAGGGCACAGTGGGTGGAAGGGTGTTGATAATTTCTGTTTTAGACATGCTCCATTTGAGGGGCCTGCAGGAGTTATCTGTAGGCAGTTAAAACACCAATTTGGAGCTGAGGAGAGAGCTCAAGGCTGGAAAACTCTATCTGATTATTTCATATAGTAATTAAAGCCATGTGTGGTTGAGGAAGAAACAGCTATCACTTACTGAGTACTTATCATATGCCAAGCACACCTTTTATGTGAATTATCTCAGTTAATGCTGCCATCAATTTTACTTAGATACTATTGTTACTGTTATTTTTTCAGATGAATAATCTGAGGTTTAAAGAGATTAGGTCATTGGCCCTGCACAGTGGCTCACGCCTGTAATCCTAGCACTTTGGCTGAGGTCAGGAGTTTGAGACCAGCCTGGCCAACATGGTGAAACTCCGTCTCTACAAAAATACAAAAATTAGCTGGGCATTATGGTGGGTGCCTGTAATCCCAGCTACTGGGGAGGCTGAGGCAGGAGAATCACTTGAACCTGGGAGGCAGAGGTTGCAGTGAGCCGAGATAGTGCCCCAGCCTGGGCGACAGAGTAAGACTCTGTCTCAAAAAAAAAAAAAAAAGATTAGGTCATTTGCCCAAGTTCACATATTTGGTAAGTGAATTTGAACTCAAGTGACCTGACCTCAGTGCCCCACTCTCTGCTGTTTACCATGGAGCTATCTATGTTTAAGGGGTAAGCAGAAGTGGAATCTGGAGAGGAAATTTTTTTAAACATTTGACAGAGAATAGTTTTAAAAGAGTGTCTTAGAAGCCAGATGGAAGACATCAAATACTCAAAAGCATTCAAAGATAAGGGAGGTCAATGGGGACGAGTTCTGAAAATCAGCCCGAGTTGGACACTTAGAAGGCCATGGGTGCACTTCCTGAGCACTTTCTTAAAGAACGACAGAGTTGGAGGCAGATTATAAACATCAAGGAGCAAATGAAGCTGTAGCTTGATGTAAAATCATTCAACAACGTCAGATGGCACCTGAGGAAGGAGGAAAGCGTGGCCACAGAGACATGTCTACAGGTGATGTCACCTTGGCAAATGTACCTCCAGCCAAGGTCTTCAGCTCCAGCCCTTAGTCTTTCAGGCTCCAAAACCAAGCTTGCCAGCATAAGGGTCCAAACTCACGTGAGCTTATGTTTAAAAACCACAATGTTGATTGATTAGTTGATATTGAGTGATAAACTACCAAGCAAGCCAGATGTTCATGGTTTGCTAATGAGACCTTTATAGCTTATAGGCAAAGCCTAATTATAATCAAAATGTTGCCAGGAAACATGAGCTCAGAGCAAGAGGGATCACCCAGATTACATGACTAGTGTCATGAATCTGTGATATGCTGCACATCCATCTCCACTGTAATATACTTGCCGTATTGTTCAGATGCTCATGCTCATAGGCTGTGGTGCCTTTCCCCTTGGGCAGCAATGGAGTTGCATTGCCATATTTTGTTTCTCTAGATTTTTCTTTTAGAGAAACCATCCCATTCCCTTTGACTCAGTGCTCCCCAAAGATGATCATTCTCATGGTATCATCAAAATATTTGCCATATCCATACGTCAACCACATGTACAATTACAGTTGACCCTTGATTACAGTTAAAGTTTAGGGGTGCCAACTCCCTTGCAGCTGAAAATCCATGTATAACTCTGCACTTCCCCAAAACTTAACTACTAATAGCCCATCTGGCAGCCTTACAATACATTTTTTTTTATGTTATATGTATTATATGCAATCAAGTAAGCTAGAGAAAAGAAAATCTAATGAAGAAAATCATGAGGAAGAGAAACTATATTTACTATTTATCAAATGGAAGTGGATCACCATAAAGGTCTTCATGCTTTTCATCTTCCTGTTGAGTATGCTGAGGAGGAGGAGGAAGAGGGGTTGGTCTTACTGTCTCAGGGGTGGCAGAGGCAGAAGGAATCCATGTACAAGTGGACCTTGCAGTTCAAATCCATGTTGCTCAAGAGTCTACTGTATTAGCATAAATTTTTTTAAAATTAGCTTACTTAAAATAGTAATACTATTTAAAGGAAATTTTATGTTATGGGCACAAATGGAAAGCTAGTATTCCTTGACACAAATTGAAGGCAACTGAAGAGCTAAACATATTGCTCATAAAGTAAAATTTGACTATCTGATATTCCCCAAATCTTCTTGAATACTAGCAGTGAGATGCCTACTATTTTCTGGGAAGTACTTTTCTCAAACATCATGATGCAATGATTAGATATACTCTTTCTCAGAGACATCCTCCACCACTAGACTGTCTTCATACAGTACCTTTATCTAGGCAGGGGCAGATTTACTATGAAACAAATAAACTTCAAGATTCAGCACCCTTTACTCATACCTTCCAAGACCTTAGTTATGTTTGTACCCAATTTTATATCCTTTTTTAAAGGAGTGACCTGGCCAGGCACGGTGGCTCATGCCTGTAATCTCAGCACTTTGGGAGGCCAAGGTGGTGGATCACCTGAGCCCAGGAATTTGAGACCAGCCTGGGCAACATGGTGAAATTCTGTCTCTACTAAAAATACAAAAATTAGCCAGGCATGGTGACGCTTGCACCTGTAGTCCCCCCCCAAAAAAATAATAAATAAATAAAAAATAAAAAAAATTAAAAAAAAAGAGTGACCCTACCACCACCTTATTGTATAAGACTTAGGGCTCCAAATCTGCGTTTATTCCTAGTTTTGCTTTACTCTATAGGTGGCTGAGTCCACCCCTAACACATGAAAAGTTTTATTTTTTCTCATTTTATTCTTTAGGAGTAAGCTATTTCTGCTTTGGTCGTGTCCTGCAGTTTATCCCTGTCCCATCTACAAAGAGAGGGATAGGGTCAGTAGCTTGTGTGATAGGTGAAGGCAAAGGGAAGGATTATGTTGAGACTAGGAAAACTTCATTGTGTTTCTGAATGAGAGAAATGGATAAAGACTTCTGACATTTGAAAGAGGAGGAATTGATGGAGAGGAGATTCAGCACGCAGGAGCAGGGGTTGGCCTTACAAAGAAGGAAAGACCCCTCTACCTCTAAGCTAACAGGAAGGCAGCAACAAGAGATGTATTTTAGGTAGATTTAGAAATGGCAGAAGACTTCTGACTCATGTGGTCTTTCTCTTTGGAGTCTGAGAAAACATTATGTGCTATGAGTGAGGGATGTGGAGGTTATATGCAGTGTTTGGAATTCCCAATACGGTGCTGCAAGAGGGAACTCACCAGAGACAGAGAAAGCACTGTTGAACAGGTTTGATGAATCAAGCTTGTAGGGGTCCCAGGAAGTGCCATGACAAGATTCTCCCTCACACAACTCTGAAGCCCAAACAATTCTTCCAGGGACTGGGTCAGTAGAGGAAGGAGAGAAAGGAGGCTAAGGGAGGTGAAGGAAGTGGCACTGTGGATAAAAAAATGTCACTGAAGTGATGAACCAGAGAGGAGCTTGTTTGTAGACAGGGATTTGAGGAACTACAGGTCTTAATGGGGTCAAAGAGCACCTTTAGTGAGAAAAACACCAGGGAAAGAGGAGAGCGTAGCCTGAGCGGGATGTCTCAAAGAGCTGGAGGAAGCATGAGTGAGAACAAGGCCTGGGGTTGCCACCAAAAAATAGCGACCTAGACGGGTTAGAGATTAAGAAAAACACAAAAGAGATCAACGAATCAAGAGATCAAGGCCAGGCCAGGCATGGTGGCCCACACCTGTAATCCTAGCACTTTGGGAGGCTAAGGCGAATGGATCACTTGAGGTCAGGTGTTCAAGACCAGCCTGGCCAACACAGTGAAACCCCGTTTCTGCTAAAAATACAAAAATTAGCCAGGTGCGATGGTCCCAGATACTTGGGAGGCTGAGGCAGTAGAATTGCTTGAACCTGGGAAATGGAGTTTGCAGTGAGCTGAGATCTCGCCACCACTGCGCTCCAGCCTGGGTGACAGAGAGAGACCCTGTCTCAAAAAAAAAAAAAAAAAAAAAAAAAAGAGAGAGAGAGAGAGAGATCAAAGCTAGACATCACTGAAGATAATGGAAGGGTTGAAGACAGATCTCCAAGTAGAAGATGAACGGGGCTGGGCTTTCCAGGGGTGGAAGCAGTAGGAATTGAAAGAGGAATAAAGTGTCCATATCTGAATCCCTAGAACCTATATCTAAAAAGGGTTTGGCAGGAGTAATTAAATTAAGGATTTTGAGACGGGGAGATGATCCTGGATTCTCGGAGTGGGATCAATGTAATCATGAGTATTCTTAAATGACAGAAAAGGGAGGCAAAAGAGCTAGAGGAGATGTGATGACAGCTGAAACAGAGGACTGAGTGAAGCGATGGCTGCCTTCAGAGGTGGAGGAAGCAGTCATTAACTAAGAAATGCAAGTGGCCTCTAGATGCTGAAATAGGCAGGCAAACAGATTCTCCCCTAGAGCTTCCAGAAGGAACACAATCCTGCTGACACCTTGATTTTAGCCCAGTGATACCCACTTTTTTATAGACCTCCAGAACTATAAGATAATAAATCTATGATGATGATTATTATTTTTTTGAGATAGAATCTCACTCTGTTGCCCAGGCTGGAGTGCAGTGGCACGATCTCGGCTCACTGCAAACTCTGCCTCCCAGGTTCAAGCGATTCTCCTGCCTCAGCCTCCTGAGTAGCTGGGATTACAGGTGCCCGCCACCACGCCTAGCTAATTTTTGTATTTTTAGTAGAGACAGGGTTTCACCATGTTGACCAGGCTGGCCTCAAATGCCTGACCTTAGGTGATCCGCCCACCTGGGCCTCACAAAGTGCTGGCATCACAGGTGTGAGCCACCCAGCCCGGCCAAATCTGTGATGTTTTAAGCCACTTAGTTTAAGCCTATTTACAGCAGCAATAGGAAACTAATATAGACGGAAAGCTGATTGATATAAATTTTGTTTAAGAAAGGGGTTTTGAAAGAATGTGAAAGAGTGGTGCTCTGCAGGTAGAAGCCTAGAGCCAGAAGATAATACCTCTGGCCATCAGTGAGACCATGTGCACAAGAATGAGCTGGCTCCACTTGAGAGGGTGGCAGGGACACAGAATTCTCCAGGGAAATCCAAGTTTCAGTTAAAGCCAGAAAGTGGAGGACATAGTGAGTGAAAAGGTTAAGAGCATAGAGAACTGTTTTTAAATATTTGGCACTAGAACAAGAATTTCAAAGGGTACAGTGTAAATAGAAGCTAGGTTGGGAGAAGACGGAGTTGAGCAGGAATAAGAATGTGTAACAGGATCTGTGACCTCCAGGGGGTTGCATGCTGGGTGCCAGTACTGAGAATCACAGGAAAAAGGGAGGCTGGGCCTTGAGAGGGGGCTAAGAAGGACCGAAATTGAGCTAAGTTTGCTCAGCAGTTGCAATCAAATGCCTTTTGGCTCTCTCTTCAATTCTGCTGGCTAGCTTTGATGTATGGTGCCTGCACTGCTGGCCTAAGTCAAATTCTGTAATAACATTTTTACTTTTTAAAGGACTGAGACCTTACGACTGAGTTTAAGATAAAAAAAATTTAAAAAAGGACTGAGATTAATTTTATGCAGAACAGCATTCCAAATATAATGCTAATGAATTAATAATTGTCATAAACAAGTCTAAATAAATTTGTTTCTTCACTGCTATAATAAAAATATGCTTCTGATTAGAGAGTGAATTGCCCATATTAGGCTCATAAGTGCTCCCTGGATTTAACTGAATTAAGATGAGTCACAAAGTATTGGAAATCTTGGATTTAGCTCCATGTAAGTGCATGATACTCCTAAGTCATGCTTGCCTTATTACAAGACAGAGAGATGAACCCCTGCCATGGAATCATGAGAGAGCTGGGCAGAAAAGAACCTTCCATACCACTGCCAGGTTTATGACTATAGGGTCTCAAACTCTGTTAGGTGGGCTCAACCACGTGAGGTCAAGACCCTCCTTTTGTACCTCTGTGATGTGGTTTGTATGTTTGTCCCCTCCATATCTCATGTTGAATTGTAATCCCCAATGTTGAAGGTGGGATTTGGTGGGGGGTGTTTGTCTCACGGGGGTAGATCTCTCATGAATGGCTTAGTACCATCACCTTGGCGATGAGTGAGCTCTCGCGCTGAGTTCCCACGAGATCTGGTTGTTTAAAAGGGTGTGGCACCTCTCTGCCCCTCTCTTGCCATGTGACGTGCTGGCTCCCCGTCATCTTCCACTGTGATTGTAAGCTTCCTGAGGCCTCACCAGGAGCAGATGCAGGCCCCATGCTTCTTGTACAGCCTGCAGCATCCTGAGCCAAAATAAACTTCTTTTCCTTATAAGTTACCCAGTCTTAGGAGTTTCTCTATAGCAATGCAAAAGTGGACTAATACACTTTGGTACAAGAACTAGAACAAAAGAAGCCACTTGGTTTCTTTCTGTAAGGCTGAGCCCCTGAATCCTGGCTTATTATCAGTTTCATGGCAAGAAGAAGCAGGAAGGGCAGGCTCAAAGAAAAAAATAGTGGAAAGATAACATTTCTCTAAAGGAAACAGAGCAGAGCTGACCTTAGCCACTCACCCTTTGGCCTTCCCAGGATGGGCATCCCTCCCAAGCAGCTGGTCACCCCAGGTCTCTCTTACCATACTCATTGCACAGATAAGAAAAAGCACCCAAGACAGGCAACAACAGAAAGAGATAGAAATTAAAATTAAAAAAAAAAAAAAACTAGTTATTGGCAAGGCAGGGCTTTAAACCTCTTTGTTAGTTATATCAAATGTTCCACCCCTCATACCATGGCCCAATTATGTCCTTGGCTTTCACTCACATCAAACACTTCCCTCCCTGGAGTGGAGTTGGAGGGTGGGGAGCACTGAGTCCCCAGCTAAGAACTATCAAATAAGTATTCTCTTTCAAACGGCAAGCTCATAAGCTAAAAGTTATTGATGTGTATATTCACTGCGTATATGTTCATCTGTCCCTTCCTATGTACCAAGCTAATTACTTCTTTAATTAAGCACTCTTTACTTTTATTAGAGTTGTTAGCATATTTAGGAACATTTGCTGCTCTTGGTTTCCCAGCGGACCAAGGTGTGCATTTTCAGGAACCAGCTGGTGTTATTTGTGCAGTGTGTATCAGGTGTGAGAAGGATAATTTAGTGCCTTTCAAATACCTAGTTTCTTCCCCTTCAAGTGGGCGCACCTACATCTGAACCTGGTGTCTGGCTACCCTCAAATATTGCTGAACACTGATGTTGGCCAGCTAACAGTTTCCAAAGCCAGACATATTGGAACCACTTGTCTGTGAATCCTGAGTTGCTGCAGAGGGAGATGTGGTTTTGAGTACCCTGCCGAGTTCAGGGGCGGTGGAAGGTAGGACTGAGGCACACAGAATCACAGCGGTGTCTGCATGTGGTGTCACCCTGAGGCTGTCTCATGATATTATAGTTACCCTTGGCGCAGTAAAAGCAAAGGGAATATACTGAATTAGCTGACTACTTTTCCTTTCTTAAATATTAAGCTGGGCATTCTCAGGGATGATCCTTATCCTTCTGGAGACCAGAGGCTCCAATAGGGCCAGCTTCATGAGTGTACAACCTGTGTAGACACACAGCACACTATTCTTAGAAGGGGCCCATGTTTGCTTGGTTTAATGCTCTATTGTTGCTATCTTGATACGCTTAATAACTTTTTTTTTTTTTTGAGTCAGGGTCTTGCTAAGTTACCCAGGCTGGAATGCAGTGGCTATTCACAGATGCAGTCATAGCATAGTACAGCCTCAAACTCCTGGGCTCAAGCGATCATCCTGCCTCAGCCTCCTGAGTGCCTTCTTAATAACTTTTTAACAAGGGCCCTGGCATTTTCAGTCTGTACTGTGCTCCACAAATTATTTGGCCTCTCTTGGTCTACAATATGGTTGCTTTCATCAAGAGCTCTCTAATTTCAGAATTACTTCTATAGTAGTCCATAATTTTCTTTTGCATCCATTTATTTACACAACTCCATACATTTTCCAGACTGCAGGTTTCCTGAGGCTATGGGCTTTCTTATCTCTTTTTCTCCAGGGCCTAGCAGAATGCCTGACATATCATAAGTGCTCAGAAAATATTTGTTGAATGATTGAATGTTTGAAAGAGGCCTCAGGGATATTCCCATAGCCAAGGTAACAAGTAGACTATTGGGATAGTGCCACATTTGGTAGGTATCAAGTTCGCTATAAAAGGGGTCATTAATTCTGGATACTCCCTTCCTACCTCCTCCTCAACCACTTCTCTGTGTCTGAACTGTAAGCTGCTTTAATGCTTGGTTGCCCACAGTGATTCTTTGCTCACCTGATTCCTGATTCTGTAAGCTGAGCAGGGAGCTTTTTACTGCCCTAGACAACCATGTTTAGAGGACAGAGCTGAGCTCCTGTTATAAGCGTTCAGGGATACAGATCTTAGAGTTTTGACTTTGGGCCTCAGGAAGCTTTCACTCTGGCCCACTGAGCTGTGGGGTCTTAGAGAAGTAAATGTGAGAAAAAACACCACAGATTCCAAGGCAGTTAAACAAAAAAGTGCCATCCTGCTCACTCCTGGGAGTCGGACAATGAACCCGGCACATGTCAGCACTAGCAGGTCTGTGCTGTGGGTCATGGTGGAGGCACTGTCCTTGGAACATTTAAGGTGTTCCTGAGCCTAGTCCACAATTTTTATTGTATTTTAAATAAATTAGAGGAGAGCTAATTAAAAGAAATACCTAAATCTAGGAACCACAAATAAGATTCACTTCAATTGGCTACTTGCAACACCTTGTAGATAGTGCTCTGAGGCAGAAAAGAGTGTGGTGATCAACCAGTAATGCCTGCATGGGCACCTAAGCTAGCATTTACTGAGAGTTTAGCACACTGTCTAATACACTGTAAATGCTCCAGGCACATTTGTTGTCTGAATAAATAGATCAGCGAGGATTCTTTAAGTGTCCCTGGAACTACATAGGCAATTTTGAATAAATCCAGCTTCTTCAGCTTGAGCTTCAGTTTCCTTAGCTGTAAAAAGACTTGATGGTTCAAAATATCTTCTAGCTTTAATATTCTGTAATCCTGTCTATCTCTTTGTAAAATGAAGACTATCTGTGTTAAATAATACCCCGTCAAAACTCCATTTTGTTTGTATATGCCTAAGGCTTCATTTTTTAAAGCCTTACTGTGGGGGACTGTCTTAATTTCTAATGCAGCAAAATGCATAAAATATGTTTCATAGAGTGGCCAGGGTACATTTCTTTTGAATCTGAACTGTGGCAAACCTGGACTAATCTGTGGCTAATGATGAGAACCAAGTCTTACAAGAACTACATCTTGTGGTGTCTCATGCCTGTAATTCTAGCACTTTAGGAGGCCAAAGCAGGAGGATCACTTGAGCTGAGGAGTTTAAGACCAGCCTGGGCAACATAATGAGACCCCATCTCTACAAAAATAAAAAAATTAGCCAGGTATGGTGGAGCATGCCTATATTCCCAGCTAGTTGGGAAGGTGAGGCACGAGAATCACTTGAACCTGTGAGGTGAGGTTGCAGTGAGCTGTGATTGTGCCACTGCACTCCAGCTTGAGCAACAGAGTGAGACGCTGTCTCAAAAAAAAAGAAAAGAAGAATTACATCTTGAAGTGACCACTGTGACTTAGGACCCAAATCTATGGCTTTGTTTCTTTAATGTTTTCTAAATTCAAGAGACATATGTCCTCTTCAGATATTTGTGTTACTTTTATTGATTCTAAACCATACATGATTCTTCATGGTAAAAACTGAAAATGGAGACATACGTTTTACTGTGGCTTTTATGGAGGGGGCTAAGCCAGAATATAGTCGCTCGCTGCATTTTTCTCTTTCATCTTCCGGCAGTTATTCCCCATCTCCCATCTCCCCCACCCCACCCCACTCATTCTTTCCACCTCTTCACCGTTAGCAAGTAATAGCTTCTTTCTAACTTCAAGAGAGGCTGCCCAGGGAACTTCTTAGGAAGATGGCCCACAGACACAGAGAACCAGATACAGTAATAGGGTGTTTAAATGGGGGAGAACCAGGGCATGGTAAATTTACCATTATTACTATTTATTTTAATTTCTTTTTTTTTTTTTTTTTTTTGAGATAGGGTTTTGCTCTCTTACCCAGCTGGAGTGCGCTGGTGTGATCATAGCTTACTGCAGCCTCAAACTCCTGGGCTCAAGCAGTCCTCCCACCTCATTCTCCCAAGTAGCTGGGACTATAGGCATGTTCCACCAGGCCTGGCTTTTGTTTTTGTTTGAATGAGAAAGAAATCAGAGAGTCACAGGGATCTTCTTGTGGAGCTTGTCTAGTGCTTCAGCATCAGAACAATCATCTAGTTTAATTTATGGAAAGCATGGCACGTTAGGAAACCTTATTGACTCTGTGGGCACACGCATGGTCAGCACTAACAATTGCTCACATGGGCAACTTCAAGAACCCCGAGACTCCTTCCTGATCCACATGACTTCCTCTTTCACTTCCCTTGATCTCTGAACAGCTTTATTAGATATTCATTCTTTGCAGTTAAGAATTGACCCATAATAAAACCACAATGCTCATGGAAGAGATAATACATTGAATAACTACCAGCCACTAACTGGTAGTTATTCAGTATGTTTATTTTTGTTTTTGAGACAGAGTTTTGCTCTTGTTGCCCAGGCTGGAGTGCAATGGTGCAATCTTGGCTCACTGCAACCTCCACCTCCCAGGTTCAAGCGATTCTCCTGCCTCAGCCTCCCAAGTAGCTGGGATTACAGGCATGTGCCACCATGTCCGGCTAATTTTTTGTATTTTTAGTAGAGATGGGGTTTCACCATGTTGGCCAGGCTGGTCTGGAACTCCTGACCTCAGGTGATCCACCCACCTTGGCCTCATAAAGTGCTGGGATTACAGGCATGAGCCACAGCACCCAGCCTTATTCAGTTTATTTTTATCGCAAAAGTAAGATGCTTTGCTTGTAAAACAAACAAACAAAAAAAACAACAAAAAAAATCTAAACATTACAAATAAAGCTAAAGCATCCCTTGAGCAGGACCACAATGTCACACAGGTTCACAGAGATTACCTTGCCCTGTGAGTTATGCAGTGTTGACCGGGAGACCCTGCCAGGGACCACCTGTTCTCCACCCCCAACCCTATCCTCTCACCAGCCAAAAACATTGCTGTCAGTTTAGTGTAAATCTTCCCAGGTATTTTCTGTGCATCTGCATACAAACATATGAGGGCACTTCAATAAGTTTGTGGAAGAATTGAATTAAAAGATAAAAATAAAAAATATATAAACTTTATTTCTTAACATAAGCTCTATCAAGTTCAAGACACTTTCGTAAGCAATGATACCAGCCATTTAGTCCCTCCCTAAAGAACTGAGAATCCTGGGAACTTAACCATGTCTATGCAGTCTTTTTCACATTATTAACTCAAGAAAAATAGGGGCCCTTTAAGGATGTTTTAAGATTAGGAAACAAAAAGAAACCAGAAGGAGCCAAATCAGACTGTAAGGTGGATGCCTGATAATATCCCTTGGGAGCTCACAAAATTGCCCTTGTTTGACGAAAGAAATGAGCAGGAACATTGTGATGGTGGAGAAGGACTCTCTGTTGAAGCTTTCCTGGGCATTTTTCTGCTAAAGCTTTGGCTAACCTTCTCAAAACATGATCATAGCAAGCAGATGTTATTGTTCTTTGGCCCTCCAGAAAGTCAACAAACAAAATGCCTTGGGCATCCTCCAAACCTGTTGCCATGACCGTTGCTCTTGACCTTTGCTTTTGTTTTAACTGGACCGCTTCCACTGGTAGCTGTTGTTCTGATTGGCTTTGCCTTCAGGATCATACCAGTAGAGCCATGTTTCATCTCACGTTACAGTTCTTCGAAGAAATGCTTCAGGACCTTGATCCCACTTGTTTCCAGTTTCCATTGAAAGCTCTGCTCTCATCTGTAGCTGATCTGGGTGCAATGGTTTTGGTACTCATTGAAGGGAAAGTTTGCTTAACTTTAAATTTTCAGTCAGAATTGTGTAAACTGAACAAGTCGGGATGTCTATGGTGTTGGCCATTGTTTGTGCTGTTAATTGTTTATCTTCTTCAGTTAAGGCACAAACAAAATGAATTTTTTCCTTGCAAATTAATGTGGATGGTCTGCCACTGAAATGATGGGATTCATTTTCAATACTGTCTCCTCCCTTCTTAAAACAAATTATCCCTTTATGAACAGATGACTCCCTTGGGGGCATTGTCTCCATAAACTTTTTGTAAAGCATTAATGATTTCACCATTCTTCCATCCACGCTTTACCATAAATTTGATGTCTGTTTTTGCTTCAATTTTAGCAGAATTCATTCTGGTAAAGGTAAGGGCTCTTTTCAAACTGATGTCTTATCCTTCTTAGAGCATCGGCTAGATCCTGTTTAGACATATTATAACAAGTTAGTATGAGTTTATTTTGATCCCCAAAAAATTAAAATGCATGCATAGTTTTTTTCATGAGTGCATTTTCCATGAATTTTTGAAGACCCCTTGGTATGTACCCACAGTACGTAAGGAACTATTTTGTTTTGTATTCCTTTTTGTATAAATGATATCATGATGTATCTATCTTTCCACAATGTGTTTTTTTTTTTTTTTGAGATAGAGTCCCATTTTGTTGCCCAGGCTGGAGTGCAATGGTGCCATCTTGGCTCACTGCAGCGTCTGCCTCCCTGGTTCAAGCGATTCTCCTGCCTCAGCCTCCCAAAAGCTGTGATTACAGGTGCGCACCACTATGCCCAGCTAATTTTTGTATTTTTAGTAGCGATGGGGTTTCACCTTATTGATCAGGCTGGTCTCAAACTCCTGACCTCAGATGATTCACCCACCTTGGCCTCCCAAAGTGCTGGGATTACAGGCATGAGACACTGCACCCTGCCTGCAACGTGATTTTTAAAACTTAACATTACTTGGACTTCTTCCCATATCAGTGTCTACATTTTTTTTTTTTTGGGACAGAATCTCGCTCTGTTGCCCAGGCTGGAGTGCAGTGGTGCAATCTCGGCTCACTGCAACCTCCGCCTCCTGGTTTCAAGCAATTATCCTGCCTCAGCCTCCCGAGTAGCTGGGACTACAGGCGCACGCCACTGCACCAGGCTAATTTTTGTATTTTTAGTAGAGATGGGGTTTCACCATGTTGGCCAGGCTGGTCTCAAACTCTTGACCTCATGATCCACCCGCCTCGGCCTCCCAAAGTGCTGGGATTACAGGCGTGAGCCATTGCGTCCGACCTCTACATTTTTATGTATTAAAACACAACCAATTTTACACATGGTTAAAAAAAGTCAAATAACAGAAAACATAAAAGCAGCGTTTCTCCTTCTTAATACTCCTTCCTCTTGGTCCCACAGCTCTGAGGGAGCTGCTTTTAACGACTGGTTCAAATGCTTCTGACTTTTATGTCTATACATAATATTTATTGATTTATCTATTTGAAATATTGCCTTTTAACTTTCTGTGAGGATGGATGAGGGTTTAACTTCATTTCACTGCCCCTGTGTGCCCGCTTTCACCACAGTCAGTTCCTCCACTGGGCTCACCTGTACCTCCAGCCAACTCAACCTCCACTCCTTGTTTCATCTACAATTGTGACTCTCGAATTACCTGTCACTTGAAAGTCAGCGATAAGGAAATTTCGCATGTCCTGTCTTCCATGGTAGAGCTCTATTAATTTTTTCTTGCCAAGACTGATAATACATTTTATTGTGACACCATAATTAATCTTCCATGATTGATCCATAGATTGGTTTTAGTAGCTGAAAAACAACGGAATGCCAACGGAATTTGCATTGTAATGCCCAGGCAAGCAGTGCTCACTGCAGAGCCCAGCAATGTTGAGATGGCCCTTCTCTCCTTTCAGATCTGTGGTCAGAGCCTCTCATGCCTCTCAAAGGAGACAATTTAGAGCTTTAAGTAGAAATGAGTTAGTTCTTCTGTTCCTTCCCCTCCTCCTGCTCCTCTTCTCCATCTTCTTATGTCTCTCCCCCGCCCCCTTCTTCTCTGCCTCACGTTCTATACTCGCACTTTCCTTTTCCACTGTGTGTCTTTTACTCACACCTCCCATCTCAGGCCCTCTCCTCACTCCCACACTTCTGCTTCCTGGCTTCACTCAGATGGGCGCCTCCTGTGGATTCAGGCTGGCTGCTATTCATTTTGGTTTCGTCTGCTTTGTGAACTCTCTTTTCTTCACTCTGTTTTCCAGAAGTATTTAAAAACTCTCCTATTCTCTGTTGTTGTAGAGAGAAAAAAAAAAATTCTGGCAGGGCGTGGTGGCTCTTGCCTGTAATACTAGCACTTTGGGAAGCCAAGGCAAGAAGATCACTTGAGGCCAGGAGTTGGAGACCAGTCTGGGCAGCATAGGGAGACCCTGTCTCTGAAACATAAAAATAAAAAAAAACAACCAGGTATGGTGATGCACACCTGTAGTCCCAACTGCTTGGGAAGCTGAGGCAGCAGGATTGCTTGAGCCCAGGTTGTTGAGGCAGCAGTAAACCATGATTGCACCACTGCACTTCAGCCTGGGCAACTGAGCAAGACTCTGTCTCTTAAAAAATAAATAATTAAAATTTAAAAATTCTTTCATCATGATTTGGAAAAAAAATTCTTTTGCTGCCATTTGAACGGTGTCTTAGATGAGGAGCATAGACAAATGCTTGTGCTCAACTGCTCTCTTGATCCCAGATATTATTAATATCATCATGTAAATTGGTCACCCTGATCTTTTCCAAAAGGAGAACAATCTGAGAGAGGATTTTTGAATGTGGAAGACAGAAAATAATCACTAACGACAAATAGCATTTTCTGAATTTTCTTCATTTTTTCTATAATATCTGACACCATTGGCCACTCCCTTTTTTGAAAGTTTCTCCTCCATTAACTTTTTTGTTTGAGATGCAGTTTCGCTCTCGTGTCCAGGCTAGAGTGCAATGGCACGATCTCAGCTCACTGCAAACTCCGCCTCCTCGGTTCAAACTATTCCCCTGCCTCAGCCTCCCAAGTAGCTGGGATCTTGGATTACAGGTGCCCACCACCACAGCCAGCTAATTTTTGTATTTTTAGTAGAGACGGGGTTTTACCATGTTGGCCAGGCTGGTCTCGAACTCCTGACCTCAAGTGATCCGCCCACCTCGACTTCCCAAAGTGCTGGAATTACAGAAGTGAGCCACCGCACCTGGCCTCTCTGTTAACTTTTAAGATCCTGTTCTTCTTGCTGTCTTCTCAGCTTAAAAACTCTTTTACCAGCTCCTTTTCCTATGCTTGTCTCTAATGAGTCATCCTCATTCTTCTCTTCTCTATTGTTACACTACCCACAGGCCTCCAGATTTTTATCTCCAATGCCAAAAT
The DNA here is from genome assembly GCF_000001405.40 of Homo sapiens. Lineage (NCBI taxonomy): Eukaryota > Metazoa > Chordata > Mammalia > Primates > Hominidae > Homo > Homo sapiens. The sequence goes on along the minus strand of NC_000012.12, from coordinate 69,098,129 downwards.
CCTCTCTGAACTCCAGATTTTCCTCTCAGGCTGCTTACAGGACATCTTTGCCTGCATGTTCCACAGACACACCAGACTCTACTTGCTGAAAAGTGAGATCAGCATCTTTCTATCACATCTGCTTCTCCTACATGTGTCTTATCTTGCTTAACAGAAACACTGTCCAATTAGTCCCTGAAGCTAGAAACTTTAATTCTACCTCTCTGTGGCAGATGCTGGTCACAAACTTATTTCCCATTCCTCCTGTGCACAGCTAAACAATGCTTCCCGGGCTCCACCGCTGTTAGGTATGGCTGACAGAACAGGAGGAAGTGATATATGTCACTTCCAGGTCTGGCCCCCACAGGCAGTCTTCCTTGAGGTCTTCCACTCTCTTCTTCTGTGCCTCTTTGCTGGCTGGAGGTTGACAGCAGGACTCGTTTTTCCCTTTGTGCATGGTGGAAAGAGCAGTATAAAGTTCTCCTTGACTGAGGAAGGGAAGTCACAGCTTCCAAAGGGATTGTTACTGAGAATGCACTTACCCAGTGTGGTGATGAATTTCATGTGTCAACTTAGCAAGGCTATGGTGCCTAGTTGTTAGGTCAAACACTAGTCTAGATGCTGCTGTGAATATATTTTTTAGATGTGATTAACATTTAGAATCAGTAGGCTTTAAATTAAGCAAATTACCCTCTATAATGTGGATGGACTTAGTCCAATTTGTTGAAAGCCTTAAAAGCAAAGACAGGTTTCCTGAACAAAAAGAAATCGTGCCTCAAGACTGCAGCATAGAAACCCTGCCTGAGTTTCCAGCCTGCTGCCTGCCCTGAAGATTTTGGATTTGCCAGCCACACAATTGTATGAGCCAATTCCTTAAAATAAATCTCTCTTAATCTTTCTTTCAATCTCTTAATCTCTCTCCCTCTATCTATATCCTATTGGTTCTAATTCTCTGGAGAACCCTGACTAGTACACCAAGAAACGAGCCAGTTCCTCTCTATAAGATCCTTTTAACATTCCTATTATGTCAGTGTGAGACTGGATTTAAGTTGTGTCTGTACACATACCAGATCCTGCCCAGGGAGACAAATAAATTGCAAAGTTTTTCTTGAGAGTTGAAGCATAATGGCCCCTTCCCCATCCTGTCCCCATAATAGAGTTTTGGCAAACAAGCCTACAGAACAGACACCCCAATCTTCCCCTTGCTCTCTTCTCAACTTAAAAACTCTTTTACCAGCTCTTTTTTTCTATGCTTGTCTCTAATGAGTCATCCTCATTCTTCTCTCTCTATTGTTATACTATACTACTCATTTCCCACTCCCCCTGTGCACAGGAGGAATGGGAAATAAATTTGTGGCCAGCATCTGCCACAGAGTGGCAGAATCAAAGTTTCTAGCTTCAGGGACTAATTGGATGGTGTTTCTGTTAAGCAAGATAAGACACATGTAGGAGAAGCAGATGTGATAGAAAGATGCTGATCTCACTTTTCAGCAAGTAAAGTCTGGTGTGTTTGTGGAACATGTAGGCAAAGATATTCTGTAAGCAGCCTGAGAGGAAAATCTGGAGTTAGGGAGGATTTTGGCATTGGAGATAAAAATTTGGATCCTACTCCAGTTTTATTGGAAACCTAAGAGTAACTTAAAAAACAATAGAGTTGCCTACTTAGAGGGTCACTGATAAAAAAAACATTTTTTTTCTCTGTCAATTGATACTGGGACAGGCCCCCCCAAAAATGTGCACCTAGGAGGCTGGAATATCCTCTCACAAACATTCTCTTGAAAACATCTCATGCATCTCCCATCCCACGCTTGCGCAAAAACCCAGATTGAGGCTAGAGAGTAACAGGGATCCTGAAGTCAGCTGCAGAAAGTCACATCTATCTTGGCTAGGGCTGAAGGTTGCAGCTAAGACATAGTAGCCACCCCCCAAGAAGCAGTCAAATACTGAACCAGAAAAAAAGAAAAAAGAAAAAAGAAACACAGAAAAGGTACTATGTTGCCGGAGGCATTGTCAGACCTTAAGAAGAGTGGATGTGGAATTACCTGAATTGGTGTCTCATCTAATTCTAAGGTCAAGATATCATGCAAAGCCTGGGCATAACTGGAAAGTTAGAGATCCCCTTGGCCTGTTCACCAAGCGGAATTTCTCCCCTTTCTTTGTTGGCACATTGCCACCGCAGCTGTGGAATCAGTTGTGGTCTAGACGGTATCCCTCTAGAGGCTCCAAGATTAGTCCTTGGTCCACCCATCTGCTATCTGTTATTTTCTGCTCAAAAAGCTCGCTCGTTCTTATAACACAGTGATCGCCTCTCTGCTGCTAATTTCCAGCCCCACTTCTCACTATAGTTCCAGTCCCCTCAATCCTGCTACTTAAAGGGCTCCACCTTTGGTCCATTCCAAACTCCTTTCCATGGTCCTGGCTTGCCTCACTCACAATTTCAGGAGCTTGCAAAATGCCAGCTGTTGGATGAGCTTTAGAAGATTTTCGCAAACAACCTCCCGTTTCCTGCCTCAAAAACACTGTTCTCTACTCTAACCTTCATTCATCTCTGACCCCTGTTTTGCTCCATTCTTCCATATCCTCCATCTGCTCTGTCTCTTTCTATTCTTTAGCCACAATCCCATTTTAGATGCATATTCCTTTTTTTTTTTTTTGAGATGGAGTCTCGCTCTGTCGCCCAGGCTGGCGTGCAGTGGCACGATCTCGGCTCACTGCAAGCTCCGCCTCCCGGGTTCACGCCATTCTCCTGCCTCAGCCTCCCGAGGAGCTGGGACTACAGGCGCCCGCCACCGCGCCCGGCTAATTTTTTATATTTTTAGTAGGGAGGGGGTTTCACCGTGTTAGCCAGGATGGTCTCGATCTCCTGACCTCGTGATTCACCCGCCTCAGCCTCCCAAAGTGCTGGGATTACAGGCGTGAGCCACCGCGCCCAGCCTAGATGCATATTCCTTGAATTGAATTATGGCAATTCCCCCCCTGGCCTGATCACCACAGCTTCCATGAGAAATTCTCATCTTCCTCCCTGAACCACCTTGTTGGGGCTACTTCTTACCCAGCCTCTCTATGAAGGTACAGTGTTCAGATACACCCATAGCTCTCACACTCTCATTTCCCAATGTCCACAATTAAGGTCATTGACTCCCTCCAAACCTGCTCCCGTTCCCAGCTTCTCTGCTTCTAACTGCCAAGGTTTGAAACTTTAAAGACATTTTGAAATCAGATCTCTCCTTTATCCTCTAATTTCATTTAGCACCAAGCTCCAACACTTCTGTGTTTCTGCTTCGTCTCTAAACCGAGCCCTCATCACCACCCACCTGCATCACACTGTGGTTTCTACTAGGCCCCCTAAACTCAGTTTTCCTCCTCCCTGCCTATCCCTGCCATATTACTCCTTCTTGAATGCTCTTCCCTCCTATTATCCACCTACTCATTGACTTTCAGGACTCATCGTTTCCTAGAGCATCAAGGTGAGACTTGTGGTGGCACAGAATGAATACTGCTAAGCTGGGGCATAGAGCTATGCCATATATTAATTTTAGCCCTAAGACTTCTTTTTTCTTTTTTCTTTCATCACCAGCTTTGGACAGAGAAAGCCCTGGAACTTGGGCAAGTAATTAGCTTCCTTGAACCCTTTTAGAAAATCCGTACTATAGTGATAATATGAAGGCACTTAAAAATTTTAATTATAAGGCACTATATAAACATGAAGTCTGATTGGGGTATTGTTATTAACATACTCATTTTGTGGGGAAAGGTCATCCATACCTCAAGTATTTATCATTTCTTTGTGTGAGGAACATTCCAATTCCACCATTTTAGTTATTTAAAAATATACAATAAATTATCGTTGACTTTAGTCACCCTGTAGTGCTATCAAATACTAGATCTTATTCATTTTAACTATATTTTTGCACCCATTAACCATTTCCACTCCCCCCACCCCTTCCCAGCCTCTGGTAATCATCATTCTCCTCACTATCTCCATGAGTTCAATTGTTTTAATTTTTGACTCCCACACATGAGTGAGAATATGCATTTATATTTCTGTGCCTGGATTATTTCACTTAACAATGTTCTCCAGCTGCATCCATGTTATTGCAAATGGCAGGATTTCATTCTATTTTAGAGATGAATAATATTACATTGTGTATATGTACTACATTTATTTTATCCATTCATTCATTGATGGACACTTAGACTGACTCCAAATCTTGGCTGTTGTGAATAGTGTGCAATAAACATGGGGGTACAGATATCTCTTTGATATACTGATTTCCTTCCTTTTGGGTATGTACCCAGCTGTGAGATTGCTGGATCATAAGGCAGCATTATTTTTAGTTTTTTGAGGAACCTCCATCCTGTTCTCCAAAACATGCAAAACCAAAAACATACAAAAGTTCGCCTTTCTCCACATCCTTGCCAGCATTTGCTGTTGCCTTTTGGTTATGAACCATTTTAACTGCAGTGAGATGCTATCTCATTGCAGTTTTGATTTGCGTTTCTCTGATTGATGTTGAGCATTTTTTCATATATCTGTTGGCCATTCGTGTGTCTTCTTTTGAGAAACGTCTATTCAGATCTTTTGCCCATTTTTTTCTCTGACCTGTCAGGGATGAATTTTGCCCATTTTAATTGGATATTATGTTTTTTCCCATTCAGTTCTTTGAGCTTCTTATATATTCTGATTATTAATCTCTTGTCAGATGAGTAGTTTGCAAATATTTTTTCCTATTCTTCACTTGGTTGATTGTTTTCTTTGCTGTGCAGAAGCTTTTTAACTTGATGTGATCCTATTTGTCCATTTTTGCTTTGGTTGCCTGTGCTTTTGAGGTATCACTTGAGAAATCATTGTCCAGACCAAAGTCCTAGAGACTTTCTCCAGTGTTTTCTTTTAGTAGTTTTACAGTTCCAGGTGTTAGATCTAAGTCTTTGGTGCATTTTGATTTGATTCTTATATATGTCAAGAGAGAGGGGTCTAGTTTCATTCTTCTGCATATGGATAGCCAGTGTTCTCAGCTAACATATGCATTTGTCTGGGCTTTAGGATTCCTCATAAACTAGTCCCCAGGCAAGAGTAGGGAGGTTTCTCTTGAAACCTGGTCTTAAAATTTCCAAGGCAAAGGCTCCCAGGGCATAGCTGGAGTGCATCAAATTACTTTCAGATTTTAACTTTCCCAAATTGTGACATTCCCTATTGGTCTGATTCTGGGTTAGTAAAGTGGCTATAATCTAGGGAGAAGTGTCTTTGTGATCAGAGATCAGATTTTTGTGATCCTTACATACAAAGGTGGTGATTAAAGTCACTGTGAAGAATGTGCTTGCCCAGAAAGAGTGAGGATCTGAGAAGGGGACTGAGGTTAATGCCTAGGGCAACCCCGCACAGAGATAGGTCATTTATTAGATTTCCTGGAGCTCAGCTCAGTGCCAACCATGCAGTGGGTAATAGATAAACATTTTTTGAATTGCATTCCATTAAATAGTATATTTTTCACTCATTGATTCATTCACTCAATAGATACTTGTTAAGTACCTAGAAACGGTTAGGTTACGGGCTGGGTACTGAGAATGCAAACTGAAGTGATCAAACTAAGCACTGTGCTGGGAACTTAGAGTTGGGGGACAGGAGGCTGGAGGCAGACCTTCATCAAATAATCTCAACAATACAATCATCAATGTGATAACATATAAGCTAGCCTGGAGTCTAGTGGAATGTATTTCTAATAAAGTGACATTTAAACTAAGATCTAAAGCCTGGCTGTGTTTTGGAGTGGTCAATAAATTCTTATCAGCAGTGACCGATAGCCTCCGATATTTGACCCAGCAAAGAGACTCTGACACTGGGAATCTCTGGGAGAGAGAAGGTAAAGACTGCGCCAGAGGAAGGATGCTGGGCAGCCGTATCCTTTTCTGCAAATGAAGCCCAGTAGGGTTTCTCAAAAACCCTGTGCAGGTTGCTCCCCACTGCATGCATTAAGTTGCCTTACTTATGAAGAATAATATTAAAAACCTGAGCTTAAAACTTACTTGGAAAAATATTGCAAAGGCACAAGCAAAGTTTAACCTCCATTTGCACAATGACAAAGTTGTCCTCCTAAGTCACATATGTGGACATGTCTTTTGGACAATCTCGCTGGAGACCATTGTGCTTAGAACCTGTCTAACCCAGCATCTGGTTCCATCCTGTTTCGGGAAAATAACACAAACGTTTGGCATCAGGCAAGAGACTTCAGCCTGTAGCTAACTAATACCTCCTCTTTACATAATGTAACTTTTTCAGCTGATGGGTTTTCCCGCACTACAATGTGATTAATTCTTTTTGCCACTGGAGGGACATGAGGCTAAGTAGGTTAAGGATTAAAGGGAGTACATGAGAAAATCAGTTTTCTTGTTTCACTTTTGTCATTTAAAAAGAAAATAATGCTTAGGAAGGTGGGATGGAATTTCCTTGCAGAAACCACAGGATCGGGTTGCAATGTAATTGAGTGTCATGGAAAACAAAGACGATACACTTTAGTAGGTGCTTTCCGGGTCCAGTCCTTTAAAGGCTTCCTCTCAGGGATGCTAGAGCTTCCCAAGGCCTTCCTCAGGCTGTGAGACTACACCCATTAAGTATTTTTTTCCATCTCCTCCTTTAACACCTTGCAGAAAAGAATGTTCTAAACACAAAACAATGTGTACATATGGGAATTAAAAAATATGATACATATAAGAAAACAGACCATACTGTTTATGTTTGTCATCTCTATTTCCATATTGCATTTTTTTTGGTCTGCCTTTGAGCACATCACAAAGCTTTTGGGAAGCTGCCTCTTCATTCATCTTTTAGGCTGTTTCTCAGAGCAACTTCATAACTACTGTTTTCATATTTTATAACATTAGGGGCAGTTGCATTAAATATTAATTACTTCATATAATACAGAGCTGTAATGTCTTCTAAGTAAACATCTGGGTCACAGCTAGATTATAAAACTAGTTAAATCATTTGAAAGGGTACTTTTCTTAACATTTAATGCTCTATTTGCTTTTATTTTAATTACCAAATTCTTTCTTTTTTTAAGCAAAGACATTTGTTCCTTCTGTCTTTCTGTATTTGCAAGTCTGTGAAATCTCTATCAAGCTGGAACTCACACAGCTCTGAAAACCGGGCTGCATTCACATGGGACCTGGTTTGCTTCTTGATCTCTGCAGTTTATGAACCCTCATCCCAGGCACTGTTTTTCTTTAGTCAATAGGTTTTTTTTGTGCCCAAAAGTCTCACAGGGACACATACAGAAACAAAAACACAGCACCCCAGGGTTTGGAGAACATCATCCTCACACCATTATGCTTTTGTTTTATGACCATCCTTGTTCTCTGCAAACAGCATGTTTTTAAAAGGCAAGAGGCTGAAGCAAAGGAATAAAAGAAGAGAAGTGGTAAGGGAGAAAGAAGATAAAAGGGACCATGATCAAAGAAGAAAGTAGGAAGAGGAAGAAGGCAGCTGAGGCTAAAATTTAGTAGGAGATCCCATGGTCTCATATTTTTAGCACTTTCCGGTTTTGATTCTATTTCCATTATTTGCTGGGTTTAGTATAGAAAATCTTAGCATTTGCAGGGTTAGCCTGGAAGGAGGGAGGCTTGGATGGAGCAGATACAGGCCACATGGAGTTTAGTCTTCTCTCATCCACAGCCAAGAGGGAGTTGGACAAGAATTCTTTTACTCATGACTTTTGTGGGCAACTAACAAAAATGTACTTGAACTAACTTCACCAAAAATGGGAAATTCTCTCGAATCACTATTAAGACATCTCACAGAACCCAAGGCAGGAAGGCTGCTGAGGGTCCGCAGGGATGGAACCAGAAATTACACATGGTGGGAGTTAGTTTCTCTTAGCTGCACTCCATCTTGTCTCTGCATCTCTCCCTCTCTCTCTGTCTCTCTCCAGTGTCTTGCTCCACAGGTGCACGCCATCACACCCTACTATTTTTTTTTTTAATTTTTTTGTAGAGACAGGGTCTTGCCATGTTGCCCAGGCTGGTCTTGAACTCCTGGGCTGAAGTGATCTTCCCACCTCAGCCTCCCAAAGTTCTGGGATTACAGACGTGTGCCATTGCACCCGGTCTGCATATCTCCTCTTTATTGATCTCTCTGTCTGTAGACTAGCTTTCTCTTCTTCTCTGTGCGTTGGGCTCCTCTCCACACCCTCTCAGTTCCGGGGTTCCTGGTAAACTGACTAGCATCTCAATATCCAAACCCCAAATGCTCAGGATAGAAAAGCTTTTGGGCTCATGCCAACAAATGCCAACAAGTGAAGGCCCTTCCTCTAGATCAGGCGCCCCCTCTTATCCAATCAGTGGAAGAGGTGGGGTCACATGATACAAACATTGTTTTAGGGACCCACATCTGTATATGTGGACTAGTTCTCAGAGAAGGAAAGTCTGGTGAGGTGGAATTCCCCAAAGCTATATACTACATCCCAGTGCCTTTATTTCCATTTATTTGTTTCCACTCTAAGGAGAACTAGAGAAGGGAGAGGGGAAGGGAGAAAGTCTTGGTTTGTCCACTGAAAGGAGTCAACATTCACAAGTATTTATTGAATGAAACAGAAAGGTGGCAACATAGAAAAGAAAACGCATAGGGGGATAAGCATGGATGAAAGTACAGTATTTGATTTCACAGTCATTTTCTTCCAATGTTCCTTTTAAATTATTCCTGCTCTCATTGGGAAATGATTCCAAAGTGATCACTGTATTTATACAACTATACCCATACTCAAAAGCAGTAGACTTCAGGGGAATGCACATTAAAACTATGCTGAATATCATTCACATTCAGCAGAATGGCAAAAATTAAAAGGACTGACAATTCTAAGTGAGAGTAAGAATGTGGAGAAACTGGAACTCTCAGACATTGCTTCTGTAGAATGTACAAATTTAAAAAACAGTTTGGTTAAATATAAACCTACCCTCTGATCCAGCAATTTCACTCCTGGGAATATACCCAAGAAAAATGAGCACATATATCCACCAAAAGATGTGTATAAGAATATTTACAGAAACTTTATTTTTAATAACTAAAAATTGTAGGCAACCCAACTGTTCAACCATAGTAGAATGAATAAACTCTAGAATATTTATAATAGAATACTACACATCAATAAAAAAATGAACACCTATATTTAACATTGGTGAGGCTCATAGACGTAGTTTGGAGTGATAGAAGAGAAAAACAAAAAGTATATGCTTTAAGAACGTATGGCAGGATTCCACCCACATGAAATTCAAGAATTGACAGAAACAAATCTATAAATGTAGATGTCAGGTTAATGGTTACTTTTGAGGGGTTATTGATTGGCTGGGGGCATGAGGGAATCTCATGAGGTGACAGAAATATTCTATATATTAGCCAGGCATGATGGCTCACATCCATAATCCCAGTACTTTAGGAGGCCAAGTCATGAGAGGATCACTTGAGGCCAGGAGTTTGAGGTTGCAGTGAGCTATGATCACAACACTGTACTCCAGCCTGAGTGACAGAGCGAGACAAAAAACAAAGAAAAAAGAAATATTCTATTTATTGATCTGAGTGGTTGTTACACAAGGGTAGACTTATGTAAAATTTAATCAAGCTGCACACTTAAGAAAATGAGTGCTTTTTATGTATGTAAGTTATATCTAAATTTCAAAAAATATATACCCATTTGCTCTCTTTACAAAGAAAAATACCTTGGGAGGGTTTCTCCAGTGTCGTAGAGAGTGCCGTCAGAACCCTTTCTGTCCTTTCCTTGGTGGTACTCAAACATAGTGATCCAATGCCATGGCTTTCTCCTAAACGCTGCTTCTAAATGTTTGAATTTGATAAAACCACGTTAATAAGCAATAGTGGGACTCTTCAGCATTGTCTGCGTGATGGACTAAGCACGAAGTAATATTTTGGTGTTTGGCAACATGGTATGCAGACGATGGGGCAGATAAAAATATAGCATACTTGGCATATGTTCTACTCTGTGCCTGGGGGACGATTCATGGACAGAGAAACAGATATCCATTGGCATGTTAGTTAGCTCAGAGCCTGTCCTGGCTAGAAATACTGGCCTTCTCTACATTTTCTTCCCGTTCTTGACATAAGAATGCTTTGTGCGAAGAGGTAGTCAAGAGGTCCTGGAGGCCAGTGGGGGGCTGTTCCTCATCTTCAATGCCTTTCTTTAAGGAGACAAGTTCACAGCATCTTTTGTGGTACAATAGCTAAGCACACTGAGAGGTCCATAATCCCCCCTCACATTGTCTCTATACTGAGGCCTTCCTCAGCACCATGTCATGTCCTGGACAGGCGCTTAATGAGTTTCCAGGTCCTGGCAAGATTTGGCCTTTCTTTGTGAACCTCAGGGTGGACCCTTTTAATTAATCTCCAAAGCATCTGGATCCTGTTTCTTTACACAGGTTAAATAACTAAGCTTCTTGAGCCCCTCTATCTAAGCTCCATGAGAATGAAAGCATGAACTACTTTCTGAGGGATTTGCCTCAATTCCATAATATCTTCCTTATATGAGTTGACAATGTGCTGTGCCCCATTCCCAAGAGTGGATGTCACCAGAGAGTAGGGGATCAATTTAATTTCTGAAATGGGAACAGCACATTGTGGAGTCAAGCAGAAGCTCGTGTGAAATCTCTTTGAGAGGACTGAAAGGTTTTCTTCTATTTTGGATGGCTTTGTTTTTGCCACTCCTTGCATCCTTCCCTGCCTTCTCTTTCATTTCCTTTGCATCCTTTCTCTGCGCCTTCCTATTTTCTCATCGAACTGCAAGAATTAGCCTCTCCCATCAGTTGTATTTCCCAATACCCTTTCCTGTGGCATCACTTTTTTTTTTTGTAGGAGAGCTAGAACAGACCACCCCACTCTACGCACCTCTTTTATTCCCTCTCCTCTTCTAACCTGACTCCATTTTACAATTTGACTCAACAGAATATGGAAGATGTTGAGAACTGTTCACACAGACACCTTCATTTATTTAAATGAAGGCAGGTTTTGCTAGAAATATAGAATGCTTTTCATTTTAACAAAAATACACCACCAAGATTGATTAAATGAGCTTCTCTGTCTGACTTCTAGCTTGCTTAAGGAGATTTGTTGTTGTTGTTTGTTTTGAAGCAGGGTCTTGCTCTGTTAGCGCAGGCTGAAGTGCGGTGGCGTGATCATGGCTCACTGCAGTGTCAACCTCTGGGGCTCGAGTGTCCTCCTACCTCAGTCTCCTGAGTAGTTGGGACCACAGGTGTGTGCCACCACAACCGGCTAATTTTTTTTGTTTTTTGTAGACATAGGGGTCTCACTATATTGCCCAGGCTGGTCTCAAACTTCTGGCCTGAAGCAATCCTTCCGCTTTAGCCTCCCAAAGTGCTGGAATTATAGGCATGAGCCACCACATCTGGCCTGTTTAAAGAGATATTTTATGATAATTCTTTATGGCTTTGACTTGTAAAAAATTTTGCAAACACATTTAATTTCACACAAATTCAAAAGCATGATGAGCTCCCATGTGCCTGTCACCCACCTTTCACAATTATCTACAATTTGTCAATCGTTTCATGTATCCACTATGCATATTTTTCTTTCCTTCAATGTTTTAAAGCAGATTTCAGATAGCATTGCATTGCATTGTTCATACTTCATTGTATTCACCGACCTTTAATACTCCTAGGGAAGCACAAAGATAGAAGGTGTGAGAAAAATCTTTAAAACTTTTCGTAAAGCTGTTTGTTCATTTTCATTGGTAAATTCATTTGGAAATGTAAAGAGCCAATGTATTTATAGCATAAAAAGTTCAGTTGTGTTTCATATTATTCCAGAGCCTCAGAAACAGGAATTCGTGATAAAAGGCATATATTTTTCAACTAGCATTTCTTCTTAGTGTTTCCCAGATATATCCATTTACCACAGGGTTCCTACCCTTCTTGGGATCCATGGACTGGAACCAAAACATGACACTTCAAATAATAAGTGAGAGGGGAGATGGCCATCACTCATTGTACTTTGTGGTTTACAACCAGTAGGGCAACGTATTTAGAAGTCTAAAATGTCTTAGTTTTCAAAGTGTTAAGCTCATTTAGTGCCAAAAGGTTATTTAATGTTATAACATGCAAACAAACCAGAGACAATGGAAGTCACCATGCATCAGTAGGCCAGAACCAAAGAACAATGATGGTAGCCTTTCTTTTCTTTTTTTTTTTTTTTGAGACAGCGTCTCTCTCTGTCACCCAGACTAGAGTGCAGTGGCATGATCTCAGCTCACTGCAATCTCACCTCCCAGGCTCAAGTGATTCTTGTGTCTCAGCCTCCTGAGTAGCTGGGATTACAGACGTACACCACCACACCCTGCTAATTTTTGTATTTTTAGTAAAGATGGAGTTTCACCATGTTGGCCAGGTTGGTCTTGAACTCCCAACCTCAGGTGATCCACCCACCTCAGTCTCCCAAACTGCTGGGATTACAGGCGTGAGCCACCCTGCCCAGCCAGATGATAGCTCTTCTATTGGGTGTTCTGGTTCTTAAGTTATTCTGTGCTTTTCCTCCTAATTGAGGTGAACTGTTTATTAAGGTTATCTGGGGTCTCTTAATGAAAGCCTTGTTAAACTTAGATTCTTCTCAGTTTTATGAAGGCAGCCAAAGAGGTCTCAAAGATTTCTACTGTAAAAATGTTTTGCTCTGTGTAAATTCTTGCATCCTGAGGTGATTTTGTTAACCTGAAGCTAGAAAGTTGGCCTTTAGTTTGCCTCATATTGTAGATCTTCTATTGAGGGCAGGAATAGTAGAGAATGGACCATCATAAGTCTTAGGCCAATTGTGGAGAGTTGAGGGTTCACCTTAGAATTCATGACAGTGCCAGCTCCCAATATTTCTGTATGGGAGGAGAAGGAGAGATGACACACTGAGGATTTGTCTTGAAATTGCAGTTGCCTAGCACTTTATGTAAAATGTAGAAAATGTCAACTGTCCATATCAAAGACAAGGGGCAGTGATAGATTAAGGAGTGTCCAAAGGCTCTTCCATTGCTTCATGTTTATCCCTTGTAGAATCCCATAGTCTCTTCTATGCTTCTGGGTTCTCTTTCTTTTCTTTCCTTTCTTTCTTTTTCTCTTTCTTTCTTTTCTTTCTTTCTTTCTCTTTCTTTCTTTTTCTCTTTCTTTCTTTTTCTCTTTCTTTCTCTCTCTTTCTTTCTTTCCTTCCTTCCTTCCTTCCTTCTTTCTTCCTGCTTTCTTGCTTGCTTGCTTTCTCTCTTTCTTTCTTTCTCTCTCTCTCTGTTTTTTGTTGTTGTTGTTTTTTTTTTTTTTTTTTTTTTAGACAGTGTCTCACTCTGTCACCCGGGCTGGAGTGCAGTGGCATGATCTCAGCTCACTGTAATCTCCAATCTCTGCCTCTGGCTTTAAATGACTCCCAAGTAGCTGGAATTACGAGTGTGCACCAACATGTCTGTCTAATTTTTGTATTTTTTGTAGAGATGAGGTTTCACCATGTTGTGCAGGATGGTCTTAAACTCCTGGGCTCAAGTGATCCACCGGACTCGGCCTCCCAAAGTGTTGGGGTTACAGGCATGCGCCATTGTGCCCAGCCGCCCCTGGGGTTTTCATAGCAAACTTTCGCCTAGTTTATTTTCTTGTGGAAATCTTAGGTGAACTTTTCCTATGAATGAACCCATAGAAAGCAGTGACCACTATTATTACTGTATTTATATTCTACCTATTTCCAATAATTGTAGGCAGCCAAGCGTACACAGTTGTCCTTAACTTTTAAAATAATGATGCTCTTGACAGCGAATTGTAATGTGTGTGCATAGGTGAAATTGATAGAGCTGATTCTGGACCACACCATGCTCATAAGTTTATATTCTTTGATTAGAGGCCTTTGAAACTATCAGAAGCGTCTATCTTCCTGGCCATCCTTCTTGGCAGATTCTCTGAGAGGAAGATCCTCATCCAAAAGCAGGGGTTTTCACCTGGGGATGGACATTAGGACGAGCTGTGGAACTCCTGGAAATGTAGGCAGTTTATTGAGGAAGGACTTTTTCTGGAGAACCCACATTTTTCATTAGATTCTTAAATGATTCCTCCCGTCAGAAAGGTTCACTATCAAGGTTTCTAGGCAGATTTGGGGAAAATTCAGAAGAACTGGGCCTTCTCAGCCTTCAGCGCGAGTCTTCACTGCTCAATTGTCATTGCCTTCGTGACCTTGGGCAGCCTGAGAGGTGAGTCCCCTGTGTTTAAACCCATTTGTCTATGCTTGCTATCTGTTGCTACAGCGACAGGAGTCATAAAAAGGCCTTCTTGTAAACATTGTCAAAAGGACATATATCAGCCCAGGGAAGCTAGGATGAATTTTTTCCCCAGGACTTGTCTAAAACTCCAAAAATGGTGAGCCCTCTTTAGCAGGCACTGCACATGAATTTAGTGACAGAATATCTACTTGATGTGGGTGAACTGCAAAAGGTTAATTCACTTTATCCCTTTCATGATCTGTGGATATCTAACACATTTAGTTATTTTTGGAAACCAACTGTCATTTTCTATAAATGTTGAATTCTCTTTTACCAAATACAGGCATGGTGTGTATGTCAGTAATGTCCTTGACCTACTTGGGCAGATAATGACATTTGAAAAATTATCCACAATAATGTTCACCTCCATAGATGTAAGTAATCAAGATGTAAGAATCATTAAGGGTGACAGGCTTTTAATTATAGTAAAGGTCTTTATAGGAAAAGTTGAAATACAGGCATACACTATTAGAACCATAACACAGCTGCATAATTTGTCTTTATGCTAGGTATGGTAAAGTCTAGCTTTTGGATTTCCAATTCTAACTTCATGTGTGTTTTAAAAAATTTGTCTGCTTCATATTTCTTGAGTTTCTATTGTTGTTTAGCTCTGAATATAAGAAGGACACTTGATCACCATCCCTCTGAGCATCTCTTCAAAAAATAACTTCAGAACCTGCAGTTAAAAACCTCTAAATCAGGGTTTTCTAAACTGTGGCTCATAAACCTTTAGTCATGACATCAATTTAGAACATTGCAACATGGATATGTATTTTTAATGAGATAGAATATAAGATATCAGAGGGCATCATATATAGTAATAAATTAATATATTAATAAAGTATTATTTTATGAAATTCTTTATTTAAGTTGTTTATGCCTATGTGTGTTTTGGTAGTGATGTGCTGAAATGTTTAACAACTGTCTCCCTGGGAGAAGAGGTATGTATATATGTAAATATCTGTATAAATTTATTACATATTTTACTGATATAAGGGGTATGTGGCTAAAATTTATAAATAAATAATAAATACATAATAATAAATCATTGTACATTTCGTATAGCCATTTTTTAAATTATACTTTAAGTTTTAGGGTACATGTGCACAATGTGCAGGTTAGTTACATATGTATACATGTGCCATGCTGGTGTGCTGCACCCATTAACTCGTCATTTAGCATTAGGTATATCTCCTAATGCTATCCCTCCCTGCTTCCCCCACCCCACTACAGTCCCCAGAGTGTGATGTTCCCCTTCCTGTGTCCATGTGTTCTCATTGTTCAATTCCCATCTATGAGTGAGAACATGCGGTGTTTGGTTTTTTGTCCTTGCGATAGTTTACTGAGAATGATGATTTCCAATTTCATCCATGTCCCTGCAAAGGACATGAACTCATCCTTGTTTATGGCTGCATCGTATTCCATGGTGTATATGTGCCACATTTTCTTAATCCAGTCTATCATTGTTGGACATTTGGGTTGGTTCCAAGTATTTGCTATTGTGAGTAGTGCCACAATAAACATATGTGTGCATGTGTCTTTATAGCAGCATGATTTATAGTCCTTTCGGTATATACCCAGTAATGGGATGGCTGGGTCAAATGGTATTTCTAGTTCTAGATCCCTGAGGAATCGCCACACTGACTTCCACAAGGGTTGAACTAGTTTACAGTCCCACCAACAGTGTAAAAGTGTTCCTATTTCTCCACATCCTCTCCAGCACCTGTTTTTTCCTCACTTTTTAATGGTTGCCATTCTAACTGGTGTGAGATGCTATCTCATTTTGGTTTTGATTTGCATTTCTCTGATGGCCAGTGAGGATGAGCATGTTTTCATGTGTCTTTTGGCTGCATAAATGTCTTCTTTTGATAAGTGTCTGTTCATGTCCTTCACCCACTTCTTGATGGGGTTGTTTGTTTTTTTCTTGTAAATTTGTTTTGAGTTCATTGTAGATTCTGGATATTAGCCCTTTGTCAGATGAGTAGGTTGCGAAAATTTTCTCCCATTTTGTAGGTTGCCTGTTCACTCTGATGGTAGTTTCTTTTGCTGTGCAGAAGCTCTTTAGTTTAATTAGATCCCATTTGTCAATTTTGGCTTTTGTTGCCATTGCTTTTGGTGTTTTAGACATGAAGTCCTTGCCCATGCCTATGTCCTGAATGGTAATGCCTAGGTTTTCTTCTAGGGATTTTACGGTTTTAGGTCTAACGTTTAAGTCTTTAATCCATCTTAAATTAATTTTTGTATAAGGTGTAAGGAAGGGATCCAGTTTCAGCTTTCTACATATGGCTAGCCAGTTTTCCCAGCACCATTTATTAAATAGGGAATCCTTTCCCCATTGCTTGTTTTTCTCAGGTTTGTCAAAGATCAAATAGTTGTAGATATGCGGCGTTATTTCTGAGGGCTCTGTTCTGTTCCATTGATCTATATCTCTGTTTTGGTACCAGTACCATGCTGTTTTGTTTACTGTAGCCTTGTAGTATAGTTTGAAGTCAGGTAGTGTGATGCCTCCAGCTTTGTTCTTTTGGCTTAGGATTGAATTGGTGATGCGGGCTCTTTTTTGGTTCCATATGAACTTGAAAGTAGTTTTTTCCAATTCTGTGAAGAAAGTTATTGATAGCTTGATGGGGATGGCATTGAATCTATAAATTACCTTGGGCAGTGTGGCCATTTTCACGATATTGATTCTTCCTACCCATGAGCATGGAATGTTCTTCCATTTGTTTGTATCCTCTTTTATTTCATTGAGCAGTGGTTTGTAGTTCTCCTTGAAGTAGCCATTGACTTTTGCCAAACTTTCGCATTCATAGCCAATCTGTGGTTACAATTCAACTCTAATTTGAGAAAATCAGACTACAAATAAATGCTTGATATCTATCAAATTCAGCAAAGAAGTCCCTCACATTATTGATGAATGAGTGTATTCTGGTGTAAGTGTTAATTGATATTTTAATTTACATTAACAAATAAGATGAAAGTGAAACAATGAAGACATTTCGGAACTTCACTAGTTTATCAATGACATGGAGAAATCTTTGTTGAACTGGATAATAGTTTTCAAATATTAGAAGAGTATTTCCTCAATTTTTTGTGCTATTCACAATGTAACAGTTATAGACACTTTTAAATTTAATCTGCGTTGTTGTTTTCTTCACTTTCATGAATAGAGGATCAACAAAACAATAAATCAAGAAATCAAGCCCTGATTTATAGTGTTTGCCAGTTTCTTTTTTTTCTTTTCTTTTTTTTTTTTTTTTGAGATGGAGTCTCACTCTATCGCCCAGGTAGGAGTGCAGTGGTGTGATCTCGGCTCACTGCAACCTCCGCCTCCCAGGTTCAAGTGATTCTCCTGCCTCAGCCTCCCAAGTAGCTGGGATTAGAGGCATGTGCCACTGTGCCCTGCTAATTTTTGTATTTTTAGTAGAGACGGGTTTCGCCATGTTGGCCAGGCTAGTCTTGAACTCCTGACCTCAGGTGATCTGTCTGGCTTAGCCTCCCAAAGTGCTGGGATTACAGGCATGAGCCACCACGCCCGGCCATGTTGGCCAGTTTCTGTGGTATATATAAATATTCCCACCATGGTTATTTCAGACTACCACTGTGATATCACAGGAGTCAGAGTTGGAAAGAAATGCAGTAGTAGCACATATTTATTTATTTATATTATTACTTGTTTTGAGACAGAGTCTCTCTCTGTTGCCCGGGCGGGAGTGCAGCAGTGCTATGTTGGCTCACTGCAACCTCCACCTCTCGGGTTCAAGTGATTCTCATGTCTCAGCCACCCAAATAGCTGGAATTACAGGCGTGTACCACCATGCCTGCCTAGTTTTTGTATTTTTAGTAGAGACAGAATTTCACCATGTTAGCCAGGCTGGTCTCGAACTCCTGGCCTCAAGTGATCCACTTGCTTTGGCCTCCCAAAGTGCTGGGATTACAGGCGTGAGCCACTGTGCCCTGCCTAGCACATCATCATATGGCATTTCTACCACTCAGATAGGAGAGACGTAACTGCAAGAATAGAGATGACAGGAAAATGTATTACAATAATTAAGAAATGATGAGTTTTGAGTAATTATTATTTGTTTTTAACATTGCTTAATTTTAACTTTCTATAATTTATTTACACATTTTATTATTTTTTGTAGAGACAGGGTCTCACTATGTTGCCCAGGCTGGTCTCGAACTCCTGGGCTCAAGCAATTCTCCCATCTCAGCCTCCCAAAGTGCTGTGATTATAAGCGTGAGCCACCATGCCTAGCCAAATTTTTAATAATGATGGTATTTAATAGTGGCTCACAATTTATAAAAACATAACAATCTGCTTTCATGAGCCCACATAAGCTGGCTCTAGCACACCACTGCTTGTGTGTCACAGTGTAAAGTGCATTTCTTACTGAAGGTTGTGGTCAAAAACAAGTGTAACCAACACTGCTCTAAAAATCTATTAGTGTAGTTGCTGACATGCTCAGTGGCCAGGTGGCTTGGCATTGAACTTCATAGAGTTGTCTACCTATTAGAAGAAGTAAATTAGGTTATTTCCTGCATATTCTTTGGCATTTGGTTCCTTTTTTTTTTTTTTTCTTGAGACGGAGTTTCACTCTTGTTGCCCAGGATGGAGTGCAATGGCACGATCTCAGCTCACTGCAACCTCCACCTCCCAGGTTCAAACGATTCTCCTGCCTCAGCCTCCCAAGTAGCTGGGATTACAGGCACATGCCACCCAGCCCGGCTAATTTTTGTATTTTTAATAGAGACAGGGTTTCTCCATGTTGGCCAGGCTGGTCCCGAACTCCTGGCCTCAGATGATCCATCCGCCTCGGCCTCCCAAAGTGCTGGGATTATAGGCGTGAGCCACTGCCTGCAGCAGGCATTTGATTCCTTAATACCTAAAATCAGATGTTTCCCTTTGTCTTGTTTTTAGGTCAGAAGAACTTTACCCAAATATTCCAGATCAGACTCTCTTTTAGGGCTTGCTTCTGTGATCATTTGAAATCTAGAGGGAACCACTGAGAATTCCATAAGTTTGAATGTCAAGGGGACCCTTGGCTCTGCTTGCCAATCCTATTACATTTATTCTTCTCATTCTCTCTGAAATGACCAATACTACCTTCTCCTCTTGTCTCAACCATCCTTCCCAGTCCTCACAACTCAGAGGTATCAGACATTACCATGGTTAATATTTTGATATAGCTTTCTAGCTTTTTCTATATGGATATGTAGACTTTGCCTACCAAGTTTATTGAGGTATAATTGACAAGTAAATATTGAATTTATTTAAGGTGTACAATGTAATGTTTTGATATACATATATACTGTGAAATGATTACCCCAATCAAGCTAATTCACATATCCATTACTGATATGGTTTGGGTGTATGTCCCCTCCAAATCACAAGTGTTTTTGTTTGCTTGTTTGTTTGTTTGAGACGGAGTCTTGCTCTGTTGCCCAGGCTGGAGTGCAGTGGCACGATCTCATCACTGCAACCTCCGACTCCCAGGTTCAAGTGATTTTCCTGTCTCAGCCTCCGGAGTAGCTGGGATTACAGGCACATGCCACAACATCTGGGTAATTTTTGTATTTTTAGTAGCTATGGCATTTCACTATGTTGGCCAGGCTGGTCTTGAGCTCCTGACCTCAAGTGATCCACCTGTCTCAACCTCCCAAAATTCTGGGATTACAGGTGTGAGCCGCCACACCTGGCCCAAACCTCATGTTGAAGTGTGAGCCCCAGTGTTGGAGATGGGGCCTAGTGGGAGGTGTTTGGTTCATGGCAGCAGATCCCTCTTCAGTGGCTTGGTGCCCTCCTCACAATAATGAGTGAATTCTCGCCCTGAGTTCATGTGAGATCTGGTTGTTTAAAAGAGTGTGGCACCTCCCTCAATCTCTCTCACGCTCCTGTTCTCACCATGTGATGTGCTGGCTCTCCCTTTGATCTTCCACCATGATTGGAAGCTCCCTGAGGCCTCACCAGAGGCAGATGCTGGCACCATGCTTCCTGTACAGCCTACAGAACATAGAGCCAATTAAATCTCTTTTTAAAATAAATTACCCAGTCTCAGATATTCCTTTATAGAAATGCAAGAATAGGCTAACACAATTACTTAATATAGTTGTATTTTTTATGTGTGGTGAGAACACTTAAGAGCTACTCTCTTAGCAAATTTCAAGTATGTAATATATTATTATTAAGTATAGTCACCATTGGGTGCCCAGGATATAAATTCATCTTATAACTGAAAGTTTGCACCCTTTGACCAATGTCACCTCATTTCCCCCATCCCCAGCCCCGGTCACCACTCTTCTACTCTCTGTTTCTATGAGTGCAACTTTTTTAGATTCCAGGTATAAGTGAGATCATGTAGTATTTGTCTTTCTGTGTCTGGCTTATTTCTGCTGGCATAATATCTTCTAGTTTCATCTATGTTGTTGCAAATGGCAGAATTTCCTTTTTAATGGCTGATAATATTCTATTGTCTAACTTGCAGTCTAGATGCCTTATGGTGTCATGGAGAAAGCAGGTCTTCTCTGTTTCTGCATAATACTTGACACGATATGGGCTTCATTCTTTGAGTAGTTTCTCCCTCCCTCATGGCTGCAGCAGCAGTCAAGCTGTATGCCTCTTTGTTTACACCCAGCCAGGGCAGAAGAGATTGGTTATCCATAGTTTCTTTTTTGAAGACCCTAAGAAGGCTCTCCTCAGGCCTCATTAGCCCAAAGTGGCTGAGTCCTGCCTATCTTGGAAGAACTACTATGACTGAGATGATCATGGATATGTCACAGTTCTTCTCTGTGGCACTCAGGGCAATTTTAAATCCTGCTTTGTTACCTACTTTTCTTTTTCTTTATTTCTTTTCTTCTCTTTTTTTGATACAGGATCTCACTCTGTCACCCAGGCTGAGTGCAGTGGCGCAAAATCATGGCTCACTGCAACCTCGACCTCCCAGGCTCAAGAGTTTCTCCCATCTCAGCCTCCCAGTTAGCTGAGACTACAGGTGTGCCTCACCACACCTGGCGAATTTTTTTTTTTTTAATTGTAGAGACGGGGTCCCACTACATTGCTCAGGCTGATCTTGAACTCCTGGACTCAAGCTATCCTCCCACCTCGGCCTCCCAAAGTCCTGGGATTACAGGACTGGCCCACTTTCCTTATTTTACAACACATTGTGGACATTTTTCAACTTTTCTCTTAAAATGTAGTTTATAATAACTGCTTTATTCATTTATGCAATATTCAATATAATTGGCATCCTAACTCTATTTCAGGGAACCCAATAGATACAAATAAGTTTCTGGAATGAATCCCTCACTATCCAGCTCTTTTCTCTGATATTTGAGCATTAGGAACAAAATAAAGTAAAATAATTTTTTGATAAACACCTCAATATGTAAACTCTCACTAATCCCTATTCAAAATTCAGAAATCAAGTGGAGTTAGATGACGCAGTATGCCTCACTATTCAAATGCAGGTACTAAATCGATTCAGGGGACGAGGAATACTTGCATCTACACTCTTGGCAAATTTTCAGTATACAATACGATATTATTAACTATAATCATCATACTATACATTAGATCTCTAGATTCACCCTACCTAACTGCAAAGTTGTAATCTTTGACCTCTTCATTTCCTCCCCCTCCTCACCCGTAGTAACAACAGTTTTACTCTGTTTTTGTTTATTCTACTTTAAAAAAAAAAGATTCTGCATTTAAGTGAGATAGATTTTAGGTGCCCTTAACACACACAGACACTGGGGTAATTACGGAAGTTGATGGATATGTAAATTTATTTGACTGTAGTAATCATTTCACTATGTATATCGAGACATCATATTATACACCTCAAGTATGTATGCTAAAAATAAACAACAAGAACATAAACACTTTAATGGCTTCCCCTTGCATGTAAAAAGAAACTCATACTCCTCATGATG
Organism: Homo sapiens; assembly: GCF_000001405.40. NCBI lineage: Eukaryota > Metazoa > Chordata > Mammalia > Primates > Hominidae > Homo > Homo sapiens. The sequence goes on along the minus strand of NC_000012.12, from coordinate 69,075,936 downwards.
GTCTGGATGTCTTTCTCTACTTCATCTTATACCACTCTAGCCATACCAGCCTTCTTCCTGTTTCCTGAGCATGCCAAGTCAGATCCAGCTTCAGGCCATTATCCTCCTCTTCCCCCTGCCCGAACCCCTCTCTCCCTACCCCACCTTCTTCACAGAGCTGGTTCCTTCTCATCATTTATACCTCAGCTTAGGTGTCACCTTCTCAAAAAGGTCTTCCCAGACTACCCCTTCTAAAGCAGTGCCCTTCCAAGGCAATTACAATGATATTGTTCATTTATTTGTTACTGTGACCCATTTCCCCTACGAGAATAGAAGTCTGCGAGAATGGGGACATTAATTTATTTTCCACTGTATCCTCAGCACCTGGGATAAATGCTAGCCAGTAGAAGGCATTTAATAAATGTTTGTTGAATTAATGAATCTCATACAGTCCTTAGAACAACTTTCCCCCATTATACAGATGAGGAAATAAAGACACAAAAAAGATAAACCACTCAATGGCAGGGGGAAAAAGATTTGGACCTAACTTGTTTAACCGCAGTCAAAACCCTTTAATACCACATTTTTAGCTTTTCATTTATAGATGTAACACCTAGATTGCATGTTTCTCCATAGGAACCATAAATAAATTTTTTCTTTTTGTCGCCTTAGAAAAATGTCTATTAGCTTTTCACAGTCATCTGCTCTACTGTGGAAGCAGCCGTTTCATTGCAAACTAAAAGTCATGGAGGAAATTGACAAGCAGCTCTCTTGAATGAGCAAGGCTGATTATTCTAAGAAGACAGTTTTCCTAAACGCTGTCATCCACAAATAGGTTTCAGGAAAGAACACCATAGGTGACATAAACCTTGCTTTCTGAAAAAGAAAACCAAGGACTGGATTCAGATTAGCAAATGGAACACAATTGGTTCATCTGAACTTCGAGCTAAATTATTTCTGTAGATCTCAGTTGGCTGCCCAGAGTCCAGCTGATCTGCTTTCTCAGCCACAACTCTATAGTTCACATGAAGAAGCAAGGAAAACATTCTCAGATCTTGTATCCCTTTAATAAAATTTCAGGTTATTTCTCCAAGAAGGATTTCACAGAGGTAAAATTGGCATTATCTCAAATTTCCCATGAGTAAGCCAGCTATAATGAAAGGTTGCTAAGAAATACTTTGTTTCCATCAAAGAACCACTTGGGGAAGTGGAGCCATGGGTGTTTCCCACTGCCCCAGGCTCTAAAGTCCTTCTAAACAGGTTCATTTTAGCTCCTCAGGTATTAGCTAGAATCATACTGGAAAATCTCTGCAAGATGAAATAGTAATATGTTCCTAAATTATAGGATTATTTTTCTGGGCTTCAAGCATTTAAAGTATTTACAAGAATTAGCCGTAAGCAAATATTACAAGATATGGTCTACACATGCTACCTTGCCTCTTGTTAAGCTGACAGTCCTTCAGATGGCTAAGGTTTCCCACCAATACATATCTAATTCATACAGCTCCTCACTTTCCAATAATTTTTTCCACCAGAAATTGGCTTAAGACAAAGAAGTGGAAAGCTAGGGAGACTGGGGTGCATTTTTAAATTTTTAAGTTATTTTTATTTTTGTTTTTATTTCAATAGTTTTTCAGGTACGGGTTGTTTTGGTTACATGGATAAGTTATTTAATGTTGATTTCTGAGATTTTGGTGCACCCATCACCTGAACTGTATACTATACCCTATATATCATCTTTTATTCCTCATCCCCCTCTCAGCTTTCCTCCTCGAATCCCCGAAGTTCATTATATCATTCTTATGCCTTTGCATCCTCATAGCTTAGCTCCCACTTATAGGTGGGAACATACGGTATTTGGTTTTCCATTCCTGAGTTACTCCACTTAGAATAATGGCCTCCAGCTCCATCCAAGTTGCCCTTTTTATGGCTGAGTAGTATTCCATGGTATATTTATACCACATTTTCTTTATCCACTTGTTGGTTAATTGGCACTTACGCTGGTTCCATATATTTGCAATTGCGAATTGTGTTGCTATAAACATGCAGGTGCATGTGTCTTTTTCATATAATAACTTATGTTCCTCTGGGTAGATATGCAGTAGTGGGATTGCTGGATCGAATGGTAGTTCTACTTTCAGTTCTTTAAGGAATCTCCACACCGGTTTCCATAGTGGTTGTACTAATTTACATTCCCACCAGCAGGGTAAAAGTGTTCCCTTTTCACCACATCCATGTCAACATCTATGGTTTTTTCACTTTTTAAATTATGGCCATTCTTGCAGGAGTAACATGGTATCTCATTGTGGTTTTAATTTGCATCTGCCTGATCATTACTGATGTTGAGCATTTATTCATATGTTTATTGACTGTGCATCTTCTTTTGAGAATTTTCTATTCATGTTCTTTTGCCCACTTTTAATGGGATTATTTGTGTTTTTTCTTGCTGATTTGTTTGAGTTCCTTGCAGATTCTGGATATTAGTCCTTTGTTGGATGCATAGTTTGTGAATATTTTCTCCTGGGGTGCATTTAATGAGACACATGAGGAAATAAATTATGTTTACATTAGGAAGAATGTATAACACACTGCAAACATGCTGAAAATATTCTGATTTCCCAATTCTATTTAAAAGTGTCCTGGCCTATGCCTAGTAGTGGCAAACAGGCAGAGCATGATAAAACTTATACTCTTCTTGCAGTTTTGCTTATCTTGAAGGTCAGTCACCACTTTGGACCTAGTGCCAATTTTCTCATTACAACATGAAAAGCAAATAACTCTGTTATTTCTCTCATACCCCAATGCCAGGATTATAACAGGGTAGTTTTGTTGTTGTTGTTGTTTTTGGTTTTTTGCCTTGTTCTTATGTCTTTAACATCCTAGGAAATACTTCAGTGAATCTTTTCACTTTATCAGATTGGCAAAGAATAAAAGCCTGACAATACTGAGTGTTGACAAGAATGCAGAACAATGAGAACATTCATACAATGCTGATGGGACTATATATTGGTTAATCCCCTTGGAAATCAACTTGTCAATGTTTAGAATAGTTGAAGATTCATATAACCTCAGACCTAGCAATGCTACTTCTGGGAATAAACTCTGAATGTTTCTATAAAAAACACTTATGAGAATGTTCCTTATGGCTTTATTGGTAATTGTAAAAACTGGAAATAGGATACATTTCCATTTAAAGTAGAATAGATAAATTGTAGTATATATTTGTTTCAGATCTTATATTTGTTTTAAGGGAATATGTACATACTTTTCTATATTTGAAACAAATATAGCAAAATGTTAAAATTTTATAAAGTTGGTCTGTGGATACATTGATGATGGCCATATATTCTCTATACTCCCCTGTTTTTGAAATGTTACGAAAAAAGCACTACTGCTATAAGTTGTTTATTTTCATTCAATAAATGAGTTGAGCATCTTCTACAAGTCAGGCATTATGCTAAGTGCTAGGAGTCCCTGTCTTCAGAAAACTTGGAATAATGTGGGGACTTTCTGAAACAATCCTCTCTGACCCCATGGCAATTAATTTGTACCTCTGTTATCATCTTCTGCCTTCTATTATGGCTTCAGGTTCATGACATTTTTCTCTCTATAGCAATGCTATCCCATACAACTTTCCACAGCAATCAAAATATTCTATAGCTCTGTTGTTCAATATGGTAGCCACCAGCCACCATTTAGCCATTGAATACTTGAAATGTGACTAATTTAACTGAGGAACTGGATTTTTAATTCTAATTAATTTTGTTTTAAATAGCCTCATGTCACTAGAAGCTACAGTATTGGACAGCACAGCTGCAGAGTGTCTGTTCTTTGAGGGTAAGGACTGTGTCTTTCTCATTTTTGTAGCCCTTGCCTGGAGTCCTAGTTACATTCTCAGAGAGTACCTAGCAAGATACTGTATCTCACAGAAGATTTTTTTTTTTTTTTTTTCAGACAGGATCTCACTCTGTCACCCAGGCTGGAGTGCACTGGTGTGATCCTAGCTCACCACAACCTCATACTCCCAGGCTCAAGCAATCCTCTTGCTTCAGCCTCCCCAGTGGCTGGGGGCTGGGACTAGAGGAATGCATCACCATGCCCAACTAATTAAAAAAAAATTTTTTTTTTTTGTAGAGACAGGATCTCACTATATTGCCCAGGCTGGTCTCGAACTTCTGAGCTTAACAGTCCTGCTGCCTCAGCCTCCCAAAGTGTTGGCATTACAGGTGTGAGTCACTGCACCTGGCTCACAGAAGACATTTGACAAATATCTGTTTAATTCTGGAATTAAATCCTTGTTGGTGTCATTGCCTACCATGTACTCCTGGGAAATTCACTTAATCCTTGTTTATTCATTTATCAAATATGTACTGTACACCAGTTCTGTGATGAGCCAAGGGAATACAAAAATAAATAAAATATAGACACTGTCCTTGAGGAATTCATGATCTTGTCTGAGCAATAGTTGTCTTAGAAATAAAACAAGAAGGTTAATCCTGAAGATTTCTAAGATATCTTCCAGCCTTAACGTTCTATGAATATATTCATTGAATTGTTCATTTGTGCCTAAGATCACTTTGAAAGTTTATGAAAATTGACAATAAATCAATAAAATAAAGGTATTTAAACTTGTCAACAGCCCTTTGGTCCCATTCATTCATTTAACAAATATTTACAAAACACTTGCTATGGATGTTTTGATTGCCTCCTCTTTGGTGAGAGCAATTTTCACTCCAGGATCATGGGGATAGCTGAACACACAACAGCTCACTACTAGACAGTTGAGATTGATAGTAGTTTGTTAGTCACATGAAGTCACAGCCCGGGGGAGGAAGATACCCCATGCCATGCAGAGCCACACAGGGTTGCACTCAGGGCCAGAGTGAAGAGCCAAGTGCCATGGAGGCAGGATTTGTAGTATCAAGGGGGTGAGGTGGCCTAGTTCCTGTGGGAGGAAGTGATTGACTTGTTTGAATAATTCCCTAAGCAGGCAGAGAACCCACTAGTACGGGATAAACAGGAACTCTGTCTGGTTCATTTGATAAGGAGGGCTATTTGGCTAGGGGACCTTGTTCATGGGAGCAGAACAGGCGAGAAGAAACTTGCAGTTAGGCCATTTGATACCCTCCTGATTTTACCATATATGTCAAGGCAACATGTAAAATTGAGGCTTAATAGGCAACACATAAAATTGAGCCTTAATTCTAGGATTTCCATCACAATGGGTCAGACATTATGCCAGGCACCCTCATGGGCAAGACAAGAACAAGTGAGTCCTGCCCTCATGGGTCTTACAGTTTAACTTTTAGGGGCATATTGGTGGAATCAGTGGATTATACTGTAGTTTACAACTGGAACTTTTGTTGCCACCTCTCTAACTCTGCCATGGGTCCCAGGGCCCAAGAGCATGGAGAATGGATGATGGCGTCTTTTGGCCACTAGAGGGCATTTCCTGCTTTCTGCATAGGCCCCTGGGTTCCTTGGGTTTTTGCTAAAATTGCGAGTTCAGTGTGCTGGTTGATTCTTAACTCTGGTACGCATCAGAACCAGTTGGGAAAATTTTAAAACAGAGCTTCACCTCCAGAGATTCTATTCGGTAGGAATAGGGTTGAGCTTGGGCCTCTGTGATTTGCCATTTCCCATGTGATTCTGATGGGTAAGCAGAGCTGAACAGTGAAACCTTTCGATAAGATAAGACTACATTCCAATTTACAGGGATTCTCATTTTAGCGTAAGAAATAAAATAAGGATTCCTCACATGTTTACCTATTCAATTAGCCCATCACGGCATAAACAACCATCCTTTTTTTTTCTTACAAAGCATGTCTGAAGGCCAGAACAACTATCCCTTTTGAGTTAAATTTTAAAGTAAAATTTGATCATTCTTGGGTTCAGGATTTTATTTTATTGATTTTTTTTCAATGTTCAATTTCTTCTTAATTTTGTCTAGATTCTCTGTTCTCCAAATGTAAAATCAAGAATGAGAACGCTGGCAGAAGTAAGGAAAGATGAGACCTGTTTTGAAAACGAAGTTTTAGAGGAACTATGTGAACAGATTGTGTTCTTCAGGGGCCTGGCACATGATGACATCTAACACCCATGGCCAACAGCATTCATAATCACCAATACGCAGCATCATACTCTGTCTACTGGCAATTCCCAGAGATCCAAGAAATATGTAAAACACTGGCTAGAAAGTGTTCTTGTGGCACGAGGCGGTGCTCATCAGGTGGCTTTAGGGTGCACTGGTCACCTGTTACGTGCAGGTCTCCTGGAGGACCTGAGTCCCTGCCCCAGCTCAGCCCACACCACCTCTGTCACCCTGAGACTTATAACCAGGCCAGGCGCGATGGCTCATGCCTATAATCTCAGCACGATGGGAGGCCGAGGCGAGTGGATCACTTGAGGTCAGGAGTTCAAGACCAGCCTAGCCAACATCTCTACTAAAAATATACAAAAATTAGCTGGGCGTGGTGGTACACGACTGTAGTCCCAGCTACTTGGGAGACTGAGGCAGGCGAATTGCTTGAACCCGGGAGGTGGAGGTTGCAGTGAGCTGAGATCGCGCCACTGCACTCCAGTCTGAGTGACGGAGCAAGACCCCAGCTCAAAAAAAAAAAAAAGGCCATTGAGTCCCTGTCTCTTCAGTAGTACTCTCCTTAAGGTCATTGGGAGGATTAAATGAGATAGTGTAATGTACATTAAAGTCATTTATAAATATTTCTAAATGATTTATAAATTATTTCTAAAACCAAAATAGCCCAGACCTCACCAGACGCAGCCTGTGAGTGGCAACAAGTCACACTGACATTCGTGCTGAATTATAATGATGGGCTACTTAAGAAGGAATGCTTGTGGCTGCCCTGAGTCTAAATACAAAAGCCGCCTTGCCTTTGGAAGCAAGGTAGAGGTGGGAAGACTGGCCCTATCACCACCCAATGCTGCGCATGTCGTCTAGATTCCCAAAGCTGCAAGCTTGCAAACTAGGTGCTTTGGTTTGGGCTCTGGAGAAACCCCTCCAGCCAGTGTGAACCTGTATGAGTGTTGGGGGGTGGGGAGGGGGAGCAAAATAGATGGGACTTTATGCCTTCCCCTTCTATTTTCTTTATCCGCCCTCCACCATCTCTCTCCCAGGCCAGACACAAAATTCTTCTCTTCTTCTGCTCAAAAACCGAACTCTCCCAAGCATTCACTTCTGCAAGCAGTTACCTGAAGGAGTCACCATCTATAAACAGCTCCTGTCTGAATGGCATTGAGGCACAATAGGGCACCCTGCCACAGAGATATACAGGGTTATCATGCCCACCTCCTGACTCACTCCTTTCTCATTTGATCCTGAGAAACAGGAAGTAAAAGGCCACAATAATTGGAAATGACCTGACTTCCCATCCATTTAACACTGAGTCACCGAGTCCTTAGGTGCTCTCCTCAGTTAAAGTTTTACCATGATGACTTTTGCTGTTGTTGCTGCTTCATTTTGATTGGTGAATGAAATGGCTCCCCCAAAACCTTAAGTAAGTTCTTGAGTGATGTGTGTATGGTTGCTTGTTTTAAAATCAGTGTTATTATTTGATTATAAATTCTTCTATGAAAGAAGTTGAAAGGAAGACTCCAGGCAAGAGACCCACGGAGTTATTTAAGGATTATAGACTTATTTTCAAGGCAGTTATGCTAAATTATGGATGATGCACTCCCTGGAAGACAATGTGAGCCTCTCTAGAAAAGGCAAGTGTTTCTCTTTTAGGTAAGTTGACAATTTATGTCTGCCCTCCGGTGACTTTAAAATCACACAAAAGACTATTCTATTTATTAATTGTCAAGAATTTTTTTAAAGCTCCCAGGGCTAAATTATATATGTCCCCTTCCAACCAGGATAATTAAATAATAGAATACAGTATATCGGGTCCTGGTGGGGTGGACAGCAGAGCTGCCGACCAAACACGCTGGGACCTCACTTGGCCTGAGAACTATCCGAGAGCACTTTTTTTTTTCTTTTAAAACCCAGTTTAGGAGGCTCATTTACGAGCCTATGCAAATCAGACATTCCTCAGTGTTTGCTTCTGAATTATTCATTTGTATCCCTCATCCTACTACTCAGGAAACAGAACAAGAATTTACCAAATAATAACTTGAATGAAGTTGTCTGTCCCAATGCCCAAGACATCGCACAAAATTTGAAGTTTTCTCCAGGGGCATGGGTGTGTCAGGGTGTGAACTTATAAATGATTCTCTCTTGCACAAAACATGTAATTAGAAATTCCATATCAGATATGCCTACTTCAGATGGTGCAACCAAAAAGAATCATAATGACATTTGTATTAAAATGTAACAAATAATCTATTATGAATCTTGCTTCTCTTTTTCATAATTGCCCACCATTTACAAAATGCGTGTCTAGGCAAATCAAGCTCCTCAACAGAGTATTAAAAAGTATAGGCTTTACTTGTTTTATAAAGCCAAGCCATAACTGTAACAGCTAGTAATAACAGCTGCCATTTTATAGAACACTGGCTTACTATTCACAGGGCACCGTCCTTGCATTTTACACTCACGATCTCATTTAACCTCCTGCCAACCCTCGAAGTAGGTACTGTTATTTTGTCTGTTTTACAGATGGGGAAACCAAGGCTCAGAAAGGTCAAGCAACCTGCTCAGGTTGACCAATAGTAAAGTCTGGATAGGGCACTTACATAGAGTTGCGTAAGTCACTCACTGCCCCAAAGGCACTGGCAGCCAAAGGAATAAATAGAGGCCAAAATCCAGCCTGTGTTTCACTTGCCCAGCCACATGCTGGCAGGGCTGCACCCACTAGAGGGGACACCTTCCTCTAACATGAACAAAGGCACTAAATGGGCTAGCAGCAGCCGTGGGGCTGGAACCCGGCATCAAACCCACTGAGCTGATTCCACAGCCCCTGTGCTTCACACTAGACTGACTACCTTGCCACATACATTTTCCTACCTCAGAGGGGCCCATAAAGGTCACACACTATTCCATTATTTTCTACTGGCTGGGCTTGGGGATGGGCATAGGAGGAGGTTGAGTTTATCCCCAAAAGGAAGGGGATAGATACCCTGTAACTCTGGAGTAGCCTGGTTTTCTGTTTTAGTGTGAAGGGTAGTGACTGGGAGCAGCAGCAGAGCATTGTCCCATAAACTGCCGGTGACCTGACCCTTGGGAGGTTTTCCTGGCCTGCTTTATGGAGCTCACCCAACTGTGAGAGTCAAAGTGGTGCTGATGAGTGGCTGCAGAGGCGCTGATGAGAGAAAACACTCCAATACAAAAAGCCAACAGACAGGAATCCTCACGCTGGCTCCACCACTCACTGTCATTTGACCTTTGATTGGTCACTTAGCCTCAGTGACTTCTATTTTCCATCTGAAAATGCAGACAATGATAACAGATGCCCCTAAAGTCTTCAAGGGAACAGTGCTCAGAAGTAACCCTAGGAAACATTTTGAAGCAGGCATTTATCTTTGGTGCTTATGTCACCTGTCCATCTCTTTCTGCTTCATTTCTTCCCATCCCACCCCCACCCAGCATTCCCCTCTTCCCTAATCTTCCTATGCGGAGAGAGGAGTCAGCCGATAAAACCAATTAGCAATATAGATGTTAGGGATTAAAAGTATTCACTTTCCCAAAGCCATCTTTATCCCAAAGAGAAGGCAAGGAAGGCTTTGCCCAAAGATCCAATGGCAGTTGGGTGAATTTTTGTGGCAGATGCGGGTTTTGTTTCTTTCTGGAGCCTGTAAATTACATAAAGTAAGCAACGAAGGATTGGGCTGTCCTGGGACAACTTTGTAAATTAGTTTTTTAAAAAAGAAAATCACACATATATATATATCAGCTTGGTAGAATATTGCATAATTATTATAAATGGTCATTTACAAAGATTATGAGGCAACAGCAGGGACAACTCCCAAGTATAATACCCGGAGCACATGCCCTGAGTACCACTCCCAGGTGTAATGTGACACTATTTAAAGAAGCAGGGGCCCAAAACATGCGTCAGCTCTGAGACACAGCTACATAAAAATTACACGCGTAAATAAACAGAGAGAGCCTGGAACGTACTATAGAAAAGTGAAAACAAATTATTGGTTGAAGTGATGGAACAGTGAGTGATTTTTCAACTTTCAGTCAATGTTACAACAGTGTAAAATAAATTTAGAAATGCTAAAAAAGAAAAAATCATTAAAAATTTATAGAAAATTGATAGCATAGGTAAATGAATTCTCTATTGTCATAATTTCAGAATGGTTATATATATATATATATATTTTTTTTTTTAACTTAGTATAAGATATTTTAGCTGGGCATGGTGGCACACACCTGTAGTTTCAGCTACTTAGGAGGTTGAAATGGGAGGATCACTTGAGGTCAGGAGTTTGAGGCCAACCTGGGCAACATAGCAAGGCTTCTCTCCAAAAAATAAAAAGTAAAAAAGGAATTTTAACATTTAACATTTCCGTGAAGCTCAGTATTGTTTTTGCCAATATAAACACGCTATGTCATCAACCCAATGCTTGAGAGTCTTTATATTAAGATGTCATGTTTATCTGAAAACAATTTGTCAAGGTTCTTTTAAAAAGGAAAACTAGTCAAAAATATAGGACAACATTGTGGTGATTCTGAGGACAGAGAATAGCATGAGGCACCTTTATACCTGAGGACAAATCAGAGGTATGTGCTTTGTAAATGTTCACCAAATAGATGAGTGAGTCATTTTCCAGAAGTGTTCAGATGAATCTAAAATCTCCTTTAATCTAATTACCACCTTCGCAGGGGTTTCTGAATGAATACTCACAGATACCTGTTAGGTGGAGAGCTAATGATCATGTCATTCCCATCTCCCACATAACAGATACGATGTTTCATGTTAATGTGATTTTTGTTCTAATTCAAAGGAAAAATTAAAACAGAAATTTCACACACTGCAACTAGCTTTGCGCTTGATCAGCTTTAAAGATTTTTTTCACACGCATACCTTAGAGTCTGTGACCTTCTTAAGCTACCCTCCTGTTCTTCACCCTTAAAAAGCAAATCTGTTGAATCACAGACTGCCAAAGCTAGAAGGAACTTTATCAGTCATTTGGCTTATTTTACAGATGAGAAGAATGGAAGCTCAGAAGCTGAAACAACTTGCCCAAGGTCACACAACAGGTTAGGAGCAAAATCAGGATGATTTGTTTTCTTTGGACACTTATCCTGCTCTAAGATCTGCCTATCCATGACATACATTTAAATTAATGGACTCTCCCACTCCAACTACAAGAGTAATTTGTGCTTGCTACATGAAATATTAAAATATAAAAATTATTCATAATTCTACCACCCAGAGATAACCACCATTAACACGTATGTATCTTTCTGGGCCCTTAGTCACTGCAGATGGACAGGAGCACGGGATAACAAGTGTGCAGGGGACTGGGGGACGTGACATGGCTGAGCTCTGGTCAAGGCAGGATTCCTGCACCACATGCTTCTGCTCCTTTGGCTTCCCTCCTGGGGCAGCCTTGGCACATGGAGCCCAGGGTAGTCTATGAGAGGGACTTACATCATGTCCACACCAGCCATATCCATCTTGGGTATATCCACCCATCTCCAGAACCATGAGGAAATAAATTTTTCTTGTTTATGCTACCCACTCTGTGGTATTGTCTTATGGCAGCCCAAGCTGACAAATAGATTTTGGTACCATGAAGAGGGGTGCTGCTATAATAAATACCTAAACATGTAAAGTGGCTTTGTAGCTGGGTAATGGGTAGAAGCTGCAAGTCTGAGATGAGGTCACCCACGTGATTGAGTCCTAGTAAGGGCTCTCTTCTGGGCCTGCGGTCGGCCGCCTTCTCACTGGGCTCTCACATGGCCTTTGCTTGGAGAGAGATCTCTCTCTTTCCCTCTCCTCATAAAGGCACTAATCCCATCAGAAGGACCCCACCGTCATGATCTCATCTAAACTTAAGTACTTCCTAAAGACCCTGTCTCCAAATACCATTGTATTGGCGGTTATGGCTTTAACACATGAATTGTGGGGGGACAGGAACATCAGTCCATAGCCCTACGGGAGAATGCTTGAATTGTGAGAACGCCAAGTTGGGGACAGCTGGGAGAACAGGAATATTTGGTATACACCAATTTCTTCTTTCCTTTTCCTGTCCACTCCACTACATCTAATAAATAGCTTTATTTTATTTTCATTGTAAATAGTCCCTCTTTCTATAGGATAAAATGTACGGATCGAGGAGGGTTTAGTTATCCTTCGATTCTTCTACCTATCACTGAGGTTTTCTGCAAAATTTATTTGCCAATGAATTGTGAACATTTTCCTACATTAATAAACCTTCTTCTATAGTTGATTGTTTAGCCTCTTCATAAGAGTCTACAAAATGCATGAATCATACTTAATTTAATTAGGATTATTTTTGGAAATGTAGATTGTTTCCAATTTTTTACTATTAAAAACAAAACTGTAATGAACATCCTTGAATAGTAAAATATTTGTGCACATCTACTGTTTTTTTTTAGGATAAATACTTAGAATTGCTGTATGAAAGAGTATAAATATTTTAAAGGCATGTGATACACCATGCCTAATTAACTCCAGAAAGATGTTTTAATGTTCAATTCTACCTTTCTGAGTTGGGCCCTGTTTTAGGTTGGCCAAACTTTGGAAATCATTCCCTTGTGCCATCTAGGCCTCACTTTGGTTACTTAAATCACAAGAAGGTAGAAAACTTAGGTTGCAGGAGACACAAGTTTCAGATAAGAAGAGAGAACCCAGTCAAAGGGTTTTCCTTGTCCCTTTATTTCCTACTTAAGACAGAGCTAAGCAGCATTCAGACATCCCCTCTGCTCTCTGCCAAAGTGACATAACGCTGAACATCTGAGAAGTCCAGGATTTCTGAACTGACTCAGTTCAGTTTGGACAAAAAGAAGGATAAAGAGGGTTTTGTCCACAAATCACAGCCAAGCTCAGTGGGGTGACAGTTTCTGGGCCCTTTGGTTACCTCGCCTTGGTCAGAAATGGTAGACCAAGGCGGCCTCTAGTCACAGTCCCTTTCCTCTTTTATTACAGACTCAATACCAATTGTCCTTCCTCATTTAAGACACTGTTTTCTAATGAAAACATTAAACAACATGCAAGCAAACTTTTTGGTTGAGAAGGAACTTCTCACAAGAATTCTGCAAACATTGCATGTTTCTTTTTTTAATTCTCTTTGTTCCAAATATTTAAATATTTTGTCTGCCTTCAGGGAAAAGGATTCACAGATCCTAGTAGAAAGTGCTTACTTCTACCTTCTGAAAACAGGAAATAATAGGGACTAGCACATATACAGTACCTACTCTGTGCTAGCAGTGTCATAAACACTTTATGCCAATTTATTCACTTTATCTTTGTAATAGCCTGCTCTTGTAGATATTATTGTTGACATTTTTATCTCCATTATACAGATGAAGTAATAGAGGCACAAGAAGTTAAATAATTTACAACTAGTACATGGCAAAGCCGAAAGCGCAGCTTGGCTTAGGGATCAAGCTCAACAGCATTACACCTGTGGGCTCCTGACTCCCTCTGTGATCCTGGCTGAGATCTTGCCTCACAGGCCCTTTATTTTTCATTCACAGCAAAATAGACAGACATGACTGGAAAGGGTCCCTTTCAGTTATTGTAGTGGCTCCTGGATTATCTTCCTACCTTTGTCCATATCTTTCCTTCCTAATCCCTATTCCCTTTTCTTCTTTGTCCAATTTTATCTATTTAACACCATTTCTCTTCTGCCTTCATCTGGCTATGGTTTTTGGTTCTCTCACCCATGCTTAAAACCTATGAAATCAGTGTGGCTCAGAGTGGCTCAATCCCTTTCCCTACCTCTCAGCCCAGTTTTCAGGCTGACAGTGGTTACTCTACATTTGAATTGCAGTAACACTTAATTATAACTGTGACAGCAGCAGGTATGACATGCAGAAGACAATACATAGAATTGATTTAGTAAACATATGTATACACCTATGAAAAGTATTTCCATTATTCGAGTAGACAAAAGAAATACTTTTACTTGGAAGCTTAAGGGCAGCAGGGAACAGAACCATGCCTTCTGTAGCTGGCATGTTTATATCAAGGTTGTTTATGAGAATTTGTCATGTGCTTGCTTGCCATTCCTCCAAGGCACACAGTGTAAGCTCTCTTTTGCAAATGGGACTCTTGAGAGTGAAGAGGTAAGGTGAGCTGATTCCAGTGGGTCTGAGGCAAGGCCAGATGTGTACCAGTGCTCCATCCTGCTGGTTCAGATGCTGATCCAGAGGCCTGTGCTCTCTGATTCCCTTGCTATTGATGTCATATGATATAATGAACCAGAAAATCTAGGCCTGAAGATTAACATCTTCCTCTTTGGAAAGAAATCTTCCTCTTTGCCAATGACAAGGCCAAGATATGGGTTATAAATTCCTGTAAGAAAGAAACATCAGCCGGCTTAAAAGGAAAAATCACCCACCCCACCTACATTTATCAGTGATAGCTGATAGGACTATCAGATACTGAAGAAGTGAAAAGGCAGGTCTCACCCACACCCTATGCAGTGACTCTCTGCAATCTTTTAAATGTGCTGGTGGTTTCACACAAGGTATCCAATCTGCCCCGAATGCCCCTCAGTTTGTATGTCATTTTCTTTTCTTATAAACCATTCTGTCTTTTTTCTCTCCCCCCCCAACACTCTGTATATACATATACCTATATTGTACACATGTATGCATATGTATACATGCATAGATGTAATCACACCTTTTAAGCTATATTTTTCCCTTTTTTTCTTAGCTCACCCTTTCTTCTTTCTTCCCCTTCTTCTCACATGAGCCGCTCTCCAAAGGAAACCATGTTGTTTACATGACTGTTTCTTCCATAGTTTTACCAATGCTCATCTAATGCTATTTAAATAAATATGTAAACACACAAATGCATTTTCACACATACATTTTATACAGGTGCATGCCATTCTTTTTTTTTACAAAGATGAGATCATATTATATGTACTTTTTTTTTTTTTTTTAAATGAGTGTTGCCCTGTCTGTTGTCCAGGCTGAAGTATAGTGGTGCAATCTTAGCTCACTGCAACTTCCGCCTCCCAGGTTCAAGCGATTCTCCTGCCTCAGCCTCACGAGTAGCTGGGATTACAGGTGCTTGCCACCATGCTCAGCTAATTTTTGTATTTTTAGTAGAGATGAGGTTTCACCATGTTGACCAGGCTGGTCTCGAACTCCTGACCTCAAGCAATCCGCCTGCCTGGGCCTTCCAAAGTGTTGGGATTGCAGGCGTGAGCCATCGCACCCAGACTGTATGTACTTCTAGCCAATTTAAAATAAATCTTTGTATAAAATGATGTTGATACTAATTTTTCAGCATTATTTGAATTAAAATATTTTTTCCAGGTAAGTAAATTCTAGTATCAACAATATTGTACCTTGTACCTGTTCTGTCCAAAACTTCTTGTATGATATGAGGTTTTTGGGGTTTTGTGAGTTTTGTTTGTTTTGCTTTGTTCTGAGAGAGGGTCTCCCTCTGTCACTCAGGCTGGAGTGCAGTGGCTCAATCTCAGCTCACTACACCTCTACCTCCTGGGCTCAAGTGATCCTCCCATCTCAGCCTCCTGAGTAGCTGGGACCGCAGGCACACGCCACCAAGCCTAGCTAATTTTTAAGCTTTTTCTAGACACGGGGTCTTGCTATGTTGCCCAGGCTGGTGTGGAATTCCTGGACTCAAGTGATCGTCCCACCTCAGCCTCCCAAAGCTGGGGTTACAGGTGTGAGCCACTGTGCCTGGCATGATATGAGTTTTTAATATTATATAAACACATGTCTATCTTTGTATTTATTTATTTATTTATTGAGACAGGGTTTCACTCACATCACCCAGGCTGGTGGAGTGCAGTGGCATGCTCTTAGCTCACTACAACCTCTGCTTCAAGGGCTCAAGCAATCCTCCTTCCTCAGCCTCCCAAGTAACTGGGGCTATAGGCAGGCACCACCAGGCCTGGCTAATTTTTGTATTTTTAGTAGAGGTGGTGTTTCACCATGTTGCCCGGGCTGGTCTCAAACTCCTGACTTCAAGTGATCCATCTGCCTCCGCCTCCCAAAGAGTTGGGATTACAGGTGTGGGCCACCGTGCCCGGCCTATCTTTTCTATTATAGCTTCTTGAGTTTCCTCTTTATCTTCTTCTCTCATCTAATCCTTCTGACTCACACTTACTCAACTTCCCAGAATCAACTCAAACTCAGAAGTCACCTCTTAAGTATCAACTTCCCTGACTCACCCTTCCTTCCATCCCAGGCAGGGTTAATTCTCTTTCCTCTGTGCAAACCTCCTTAGCACACATTGAATTGTTCTTGTCTGAGTTTGTCAGCCCCACTGATTACAAGCTTCTAGAAGGCAGACTCAGTATCCTATTCACCTTTACCAAATCCAGCAGCAAACAGAGTGCTTTAAATGCCACTACTCGATATTTCATTGACAAATTACATATTTCAATGTTTTTATGTAAATTTTTATTTTATACCTAGTGTAAATGATTTAATCAGTGCTTCCAAAAAGCAAGCTGAAAGCAAAAGATTAGGTTAACTTGATATTCCTGAATGAGATGACAAGAGTGTATACATGTGATGCTTAGTGGATCTTTTAGGGGGGAAAAAAGCATTTATTCATTTTACCATAGACTCTGAATTACTACACAGAGGGAGACAAGTCAAGAACCAGTGCAATATTTGTCCTGTGCCTGACTTGTTTCACTTAACACATTGTCCTCCAGATTTATCCATATTCTCACAAACGACAGGACTTTGTTTTTTATGACCAAATAGTATTCCATCATATGTATATAACACATTTAAAAAATCCATTCATTTGTTGATGAACACTTAGGTTGATTCCATATCTTGGCTATTGTGAATAGTGCTGTAATAAATATGAGAGTACAGATATCGCTTTGACATACTGATTTCATTTCCTTTGTATATATACCCAGCAGTGGTATTGCTGAATCACGTGGTACTTCTATTTTTAATTCTTGGAAACTCCATACTGTTTTCCATAATGGCTGTACTAATTTACTTTTCCACCAACAGTGTATAAGAATTCCCCTTTCTCCACACATAAGGACAAATACTGCATGATCTCACTCATAGGTGGAATATAAAAAAATGGATCTCATAGAAGTAGATAGTAGAATGGTGGTTATCAGAGGCTGGGGAGAGTAAGGAGGAGAGGGGGATGGGGACAGGCTGTCAACAGGTACAAAGGTACAGGTCCATTGGATGGATACTGCTGGTGTTCCAGGGTACAGTAGGGTGACTATAGTCAACAATAGCGTATTGTATACTTCCAAGTTGCTAGAAGAGAGAATTTTGAATGTTCTTACCACAAAGGAATAAAAAGTGTTTGAGGTGATGTCTATGCTCATTATCCTGATTTGATCATTACACAATGTATAATATATGTATCAAAACATGACATTCTACCCCATAAATATGTACAGGTATTATGTGTCAATTAGAAATAAAATAATCATTTTTAAAATGAATTAATGTGCATTTTTGTAGACATTAAGTCTTTATCAAAAAATTAAATGCCTGAATGTATGATGTGCATGTTTCCAACAATATAAAGTGATTGATACTGATACTCACCGTCCTAAGATGGCCACCATTATGTAGATGCTCTATGGCTTTAGAATTTTAATTTGCTGTCAGAAAGTATTCTGTTGGGTAAAATTTCCTATGGAGTTATCAGATCTTCTTACTTTCTTATTTTCGTCTTTTGTCTACTTCAAATGATTATTGAGGAGAAAAGCTTAGGAATGTAGATATTAAAATGATAGCCTTGACTTTGCCTAATTCTTTTTTTTTTTTTAATTTTCGGACAGGGTCTTGCTCTGTCACTTAGGCTGGAGTGCAGTGATGCAATTACTGCTCACTGCAGCTTCCATCTCCTTGGCTCAAGCCATCCTCCTGCCTCAGCTGCCAGAGTAGCTGGAAGTACAGGCTCAGACCACCACACTTGGCCAATTTTTTTTTTTTAATTTTTAGTAGACATGAGGTCTCCCTGTTTTGCCTGGGCTCAAATGATCCTCCTGCCCCAGCCCCCTAACGTGCTGGGATTACAGGCGTGAGCCACTGTGCCTGGTCTACTTCTTTATCAAAAGGTTTTTTTTTCCCCTTAACAGAACCAGTCACCTTGAAAACTATTGGAATAAAATTATTGTGATTATCTTAAAACCTAGTGTTTGTTCCTGTTTCTGTAACATTTACTATTTGGAAGGCAATAGTAAACTTCAATTTATCTTAAAGTTAAATTTGGCTTAAACCAACATGTAGTTCCTGGAAGATGATAGATACTTAATAAATATTTATTGGATGAAGAACTGATGAATTGTGGTAACTGACAACCTCATTTCTAACTCTGTTAACTCATATATTTGCAGCTGTTTTAAAATACACTCACTATTTTCTAACTTGTTGCTTTAAAAAAAGTTAATCCCCAAAAAGGGCATTTGGCAGAAAGTAATATTGCCCAAGGACCCCAACAGGAAACCTATGTTTGGAGTCTTGCCTCCTTGGCAATTTAGGACCAAAAGCAACTTCTAGTAACAAGCTTATGGAAGCACTCTTTTGAGCGTTGGCTCATACAAATATTTTGTGGTTTTGGTGTCAAGTATAAACAAACTAAAAAACTAAAAATAAATCTAAAAGTAGACCTTTCTTCAGAATTTGACTTGGGAATATGGATCTTACTCTATATGTTACTGGGCAAATAATAAGTATACTAAGGAAGGTATGGAATTTGATATGGACTGCAATGCTAAAAAACACAAAATGACTTAAATCTTCCATCACCACTCAAGCCATTTGGAAGGTAAATCAGAGAATAGAATTTTCTTAAAGAACTTATTAAACAATGTATCAATTCTTTAGCAATAAATAAAAAATAAAAAGCATTGCACAATCTTCCCTTCTTCAGCCAACATTCCACTCTCCCAACGTCTGGGAAACTGGACAGGGAGGAAGCAGACTGCTTCTAATTACCCTGTGGCAGCCAAAGATGGCTTCAACTTTTAAGGTATGAGAATATTAAAAATAGTAAATGTTTTTACAAACCTCTCACAGATATTTAGCTTGAAAAATAAATAAAAACATTCAGCTCTAGTTTTCTTATTTTGCCCTTGGCATCACTTCCCAAGTATTTGATCCTGATGGAAAATTGTGATTTTATTGATGGCCCCCATCAGGATTCTGTAACTCTTCCTTGGGTACTGGAGAAAGAAACAGGTCCTACTGGTGGACCTCACAGTCCAGTGGCTCAATCACAGGGCATTCGGAGGAAGAACAATCTGGCTCTCAGAGGCACCCAACACAAGTGACATTCACTACAACTAATGTTCAGGTGGTAAGACTGCAAAGATGAATCCAAGGCAGAGACAACCTTCCAGAACTCTCTTCCCTTCCAGAGTCTGGTCTCCATTCTCCTGGACCAGGGACTTGCTTCTATTAAAATAAGTCTTGTAATTTCCAGAACAATGAATTCAGACCATGTCAAATTTGTTTCTTTTTTAAGCTAGGGAACTCTAATGAGCCTTCCTCCAAGATTTCCTAGGTCTGAGGAAACTGTGCCTCCTTCAGGGTCTCCAGGAGGAGCACTTCTTACTAAAACTTAGCAGGCAGAAACATTGGAAATGGTTCAAGAGGCAACTGGAGCAGCCATTTCTCTGGTATGTGACGACTGTGGCCCATAGCAGGGACAGCCTCAACTCCAGAATCCTTTAATCTATATCCGTTCTAAGAAGGTAAACCTAATGTGATCAGACTCCAGGGACCCAGCCTCATGTTCAAAGGGCTCCCATGTAGAGTCAGAACATATTTATTGAGCACCTACTTAGTGCCAGGCATTGTGCCAGGCTCTGGAAACACAGTCACGTGCAAGATGGGTTTTTGTCCTCAGAGATCTCACAGTCTAAGAAAAGGAAGCAGGTTCTTACAACAGTGATTATGAAAGTGCTAAGTGCCTCAGGACCACGTGAGAGGGAGCACCCAGGAATAGAGCTGCATCCTACTCTTTTCTCTATTTCTTTCAGAGAAGTTGCCCTTTGATTGGGCAATATTGGTATTCCAGCCTGTGGACATAGGAAGACGGCAAATAGGAAATGATGGTCAATTATATTCAATGTCATCCACATACATTTCGCTCCTCAGCACTGCCTTTGCTGCAGTAACAGACTTTTTCACTTTGGGAAAGTAGGCAGAGTCCAATGTCACTCAATAATCCAGTGACCGGCACTCTTCCTGGTGGCAGGCCTTCTCAAACACCCCTCAATTCTGAGGATGTAAACAGTCAAAAGGCCAGGGGATGTGGCCAAATGTAATATTGTGTTAATGTGAGACTTACAAAGCCTCAGTCCTCATGTGTGTCATCATCTGGACTGTGCATTTTGAACTCTGGATGCTTCTGATTGTGAGCCAAAAAGAGCCACTTAGGAACGTCAACTGTCCATAGAGGGGACTTTCCATTTGATTTTGGTCTTTGTGAGCAATGATTAAGTCTTGCTCCATCTTCCATTGTCTTCCATACAACACAGCCTTAGTTTAAGTTCTTCCAAAGCAGACCTTGAGATGTGGATTCATGGGCAAGGGATGTATAGAGAAAGTGGCCTGTGAGGAGGCCGGGGTGGGGCAGGGGGGAGTTTGAGAAGCAGGACAGGGATGAGAAGGATCTGAGCGAAGGCACGATATCAGGCAAAGTCCCAGCTCCCGCCTGCTCCTGCAGGAGAGCAGCTCAGGAGAATGAATTATGCCTTAGAGCTTGTCCCAACTGGAGGCCAGGCAGTTGGTCTTTCATACATCCACACCAATCACTCATTGACTAAGGGCCACCCCAAGGAAACATACATTCCTAGGTATGCAGACAGTTTTCTGTGTGTGGGAAAAATGGCTCTGGTACCCTAGGGCAGGGCTCAAGGTGAGTTGCCGTTGCAGGCCATTTAGAAGTACAGGCACACAGAAGTCCAACAGGAGCACAGACTCCTACAGGGGATCCAAGGAGATCTGGGCAGAACACAGCGTTGCTGCACCCACCAGCATGCTGCATGCTCTCTCTGCCTGGTAAACACGCTTCTCATTGACAACTGGGAGGGTTACTTATAGCCAGAAAGAAGTGATAAAGACATATTAAAAGATTTTTTATGATATATACCATACATGTCATACTTTTTAAGCGATACATGTAAGTTTTAGAAGAAAAGAGGATTCCAGTTTATTTTACTGACACTATCAGATTAGGTGTCAGGAAAGGTGATTGCTACCTCTGTTGCTATCGCTAACCAGCTGTGTGACCTTTGACAACACAATTTGTTGCAATTCAGTAACCGTTTACAGATCTCCTGTGTTTCTGGGCTGCAACTCACAGTACCTACAATGGTGTCTTTCAGTGTACAGGCTAAAAACAGATGAGGCTCCAGTACATAAGTGCATGAAGAGCAGTGGAAACGTGCAAGAGAAAAGTAAACCAGAGAAGGAAATCTTGGTGGGAGGGATTTAGGAGAGGAGTTTTGGAGGAAGTTACATATGAGCTGGGTCTCAGAGGGTGAGCGGGGTGTTGATACGTAGAAAGAGGGAGAATGTTCCCAACCGAGCAAAGGCAAGGAGGTGAGAAAGGAGCATATCAGGCTATTCAAGTCGACCGACCAGAGCAACCTTGTAGGGGTCATTTGGAAAAACAACCTGGGAAAAGAACTTCAGGGTCAGATTTTGGGGCCTTGAATATCCAGTTGGGATGTTTATATTTAAGATGTTAAGTCAAAAACTAAAAGTTTTTGAGAAAGAGAACTATATGGTTTAAACTCACTCTTGGTCATTTCCTCAAGGCCACGCACAGTGGTGGAGTGTCTAGGAGGGTCAGAGAGGAGGGTCTCCCACATCAGCCCGTGTCGAACCATCTGCCATGACTACCCAGGCCATGGGAAGAAACTGAAATCTTGTGCCACATTGTTCTCTCCAGAGGTGAGCTTCTCCATGGGGTCATAGTGCTGTCTGCCTCGTGGCCTTGTACTGTGGCCAGTTTAATCCAGTATAGATGTTTTATTAACATCTCAAAGAAGGAAGGGGCTTGGCATTCCTAACCTTCTCCTTTGAATCTCCTTGGCTTTTGTGCCAGTTTGCAATTTATTTGCAGCAACATCTGGGCCCTTTGCTAAAAGGGGCTAAGCAGATGGATCTTCCTAAGACAAAGATCTGTCAGTGCAAGGTAACTGGATATCTCCACAGCAAGAAAGAGGAATAATACTGATTAAAATACAGTTCAATGTCTACTTTTCATGGCAGTTTCACTTAAAAGAAATGGGAGAGAAAAATGAACGTTCCCCCACGTTGGGCACCATGTGCTGCATATAGTTGAGCCACCTAGAAATTTTCCAATGTGCAGTGATTTATGTCAATACTGGGAAAATTTAAACTCCAGGACAGACTTACCACAACTAACTAGGAGTTAGACACCTAAGAAGCTAGCAGGAAAGCAAGTCCTCCAGGCCGTCCATGCTGAATGAGCTGGAAAAAATCAAAGCTGCTTCACATTAAGGGTTGCCTAGCCTCAAAACAGATCTGTAAGGACCTCACACGGCACAAATCACATGCAGTGATTTGGTGGCAGTTCATACACAGCACCTATTATGGTGGCAACCCCTCTGCCATCGGTTGAAATTCTTGACCCAGATGCCAGACATACTGAGTCACCTGGAATCCCCCTGCCCTCCACACCTCCCACTGCTGGCTGCATAAATATGTATGTGTGGTTACGAGAGCTGATTTAAGTAATTTGCCTCTAGCGGGTGGTTTGTACCACATGTAGGAGAAAACAATCTACCAACATGTATAAAATTAACCTTTTAAATTCTGTCTGGGGACAAAAAGGATTTTGTCTGTTTGTTGATCTATTCTTTACTTGGAAATGAATGACATAACAGAGAAACTGGTAAAACTGTACTGTTTGCCTTTCAGATTATTTCTGGCAGGTAACCTTGCCTTCACTGGATGGAACATAGCAGCAATGTGAAATTTTAAACCTTTTGAAAAATACAAGGTCATAAACATAAGAGAAAGTCTGAAATTTGCAGTTGGAGTCTGGCTCCAAAAGAGGTTTGCAAAACATCAAAGATGACAAAGCTCTGAGTCGCAGGACATTCTTGGCCTCACTGATGAAAAACAGCTTGTATAGCACGCATGTTTTGCCACATTTTCTACTCTTTTGCATCCTCGACTATTGTTTATGAGTAAAACCCCCAAACTTAGCCTGAAATATAAAAACCTTGAAAATCCGACCCAAATCCATTTTCTAGCTTTCACTTCCACCTCACCCTCCTTAAAATCAACACCCCAATTTCATAGGATTATCCATTGTTCTTTGTATATAACATAGTCTCGCACCTCAATATTGTTCACGGGATGTTTTCTCTATTCAAGAGGCTCTTGCTATCTTCTTAACCTGACAAAACTCAGCTCAAAAGTCGTCTTTTACCAAAGGCTTTAAAACAGATCACTCCCGTTTTTGTGCACCTATAACACTTAGCACTTAATTAAAAAACTTTTTTTTGGCCGGGCGCGGTGGCTCATGCCTGTAATCCCAGCGCTTTGGGAGGCTGAGGCGGGTGGATCACGAGGTCAGGAGATTGAGACCCATCCTGGCTAACCCGGTGAAACCCCGTCTCTATTAAAAAAAAAATACAGAAAATTAGCCGGGCATGGTGGCAGGCACCTGTAGTCCCAGCTACTCAGGAGGCTGGGGCAGGAGAATGACATGAACCCAGGAGGCAGAGCTTGCAGTGAGCCGAGATTGCACTATTGCACTCCAGCCTGGGCAACAGAGCAAGACTCTGTCTCAGAAAAAAAAATTATTTCCTAGGTTTTAGGGAACAGGTGGTATTTGGTTACATGAGTAAGTTTATTGGCGGTGATTTGTGAGATTTTTGTGCACCCATCACCTGCACAGTACACACTGAACCCTATTTGCAGTCTTTTATTCCTCAACCCTTTTCCACCCTTTTCCCACTGAGTCTCCAAAGTCTATTGTGTCATTCTTATGCCTTTGCATCCTCATAGCTTAGCTCCCACTTATGAGTGAGAACATACAATGTTTGGTTTTCCGTTCTTGAACTATTTCACTTAAAATAATAGTTTCCAATCCCATCCAGGTTGCTGTGAATGCCATTAATTCATTCCCTTTTATGGCTGAGTAGTATTCCATCGTGTATATATATGCCACAGTTTCTTTATCACTCACTGATTGATGGACATTTGGATTGGTTCCATGATTTTGCAGTTGTGAGTTGTGCTGCTATAAACATGTGTGCACAAGTATCTTTTTCATATAATGACTTCTTTTCCTCTGGGTAGATACACAGTAGTGGGATTGCTGGGTCAAATGGTAGTTCTACTTTTAGTTCTTTAAGGAATGTTCACACTATTTTCCATAGTGGTTGTACTAGTTTACATTCCCACCCACAGTGTAGAAAATGTAACCTGTTCATCGCATCCATGTCAATATCTATTTTTTTTTATTAAGGCCATTTTTTGCAGGAGTAAGGTGGTACTGCATTGTGGTTTTGATTTGCGTTTCCCTGATCATTAGTGATGTTGAGCATTTTTTCATGTGTTTGTTGGCCATTTGTATATCTTCTTTTGAGAATTGTCTATTCATGTCCTTAGCCCACTTTTTGATGGGACTGTTTGTTTTTTTCTTGCTAATTTGTTTAAGTTCATTGTAGATTCCGGATATTAGTCCTTTGTCAGATGTATAGATTGTGAAGATGTTTTCCCACTCTGTGGGTTGTCTGTTTACTCTGCTGACTGTTCCTTTTGCCATGCAAAAACTCTTCAGTTTAATTAAGTCCCAGACATTTATCTTTGTTTTTATTGCATTTGCTTTTGGGTTCTTGGTCATGAAATCCTTGCCTAAGCCAATGTCTAGAAGGTTTTTTTCAATGTTATCTTCTAGAATTTTTATAGTTTCAGGTCTTAGATTTAAGTCCTTGATCCGTCTTGAGTTGGTTTTTGTATAAACTGAGAGGTGAGGATCCAGTTCCATTCTCCTACATGTGGCTTGCCAATGATCCCAGGACCATTTGTTGAATAGGGTGTTCTTTCCCCACTTTATGTTTTTGTTTGCTTTGTTGAAGATCAGTTGGCTATAAGTATTTGGGTTTATTTCTGGGTTCTCTATTCTGTTCCATTGGTCTATGTGCCTATTTTTATATCATGACCATGCTCTTTTGATGACTATGGCCTTATAGTATAGTTTGAAATCAGGTAATGTGATGCCTTCAGATTTGTTCCTTTTGCTTAGTCTTGCTTTGGCTATGTGGGCTCTTTTTTGGTTCCATATGAATTTTAGAATTTTTTTTTCCAGTTCTGTGAAGAATGATGGTGGTATTTTAATGGGAATTGCATTGAATTTGTAGATTGCTTTTGGCAGTATGGTCATTTTCACAATATTGATTCTACCCATCTGTGAGTATGGGATGTGTTTCCATTTGTTTGTGTCATCTATGATTTCTTTCAGTAGTGTTTTGTAGTTTTCCTTGCAGAGGTCTTTCACCTCCTCAGTTAGGTATATTCCTAAGTATTTTATTTTTTGCAGTTATTGTAAAAGGAGTTTGATTTGATTCTCAGCTTGGTTGCTGTTGGTGTACAGGAGAGCTACTGATTTGTGTACATTAATTTTGTACCTGGAAAATTTGCTGAATTATTTTATCAGTTATAGGAGCTTTTTAGAGGAGTCTAGGGTTTTTTATATATACAATCATAGCATCAGCAAACAGTGACAGTTTGACTTCCTCTTTACCAATTTAGATGCCTTTTATTTCTTTCTCTTGTGTAATTGCTCTGGCTAAGACTTCCAGCACTATGTTGAATTAGAAGTGGTGAAAGTGGACATCCTTGCCTTGTTCCAGTTCTCAGAGGAAATGCTTTCAACTTTTCCCCATTCAGTGTTATGTTGGCTGTGGGTTTGTCATAGATGGCTTTTATTATACTGAGGTATGTCCCTTGTACGCCGATTTTGCTGAGAGTTTTAATCTGAAAGGATGCTGGATTTTGTCAAATGTTTCTTCTGCATCTATTGAGGTGATCAGGTATACTATTTTATCACATGGTATTGTGATTATTTGCTCACTCATCTATTGCTATCTCCTCTATGAGATTTGAGCTCCTTCAGGGAAAAACACTATCTGTTTCTCTACATCTGCCCTGAGCCTAACAATGCCTGAAACATAGGATCTACTCAACAAATGTATGTTGGTCAGTGTTATTGAAGATCAATAACTTGCTGAGCAGCACATTCTTTCCTGAACAGAAGCAAAGCACCCAATACCAGGCTTAGCTGTCTCGGTTCCAAGACCAACCATGCAGTTACCCAGGAGGATATGAAGATAATGACACAGAATCAAGTGAATTTTGATGTGCAGTTTGCTATGATCTTATGCCTTCGTTGGAGAACCTGGGTTTTGGCCTTGATCCTGGAACAATTCTCTCAACTCATCACTAGACCCACATTTTAATCTTGTGTGTCCAAGTTTCTATTTTGGTAATATGCTGGTCCAAGGATTACCAAAAGTAAGGTTTCTCTCCTTTTCTAGGCAAGACTATATTTTGATTCCTTTTCTGGCAATGTAATGGAAATTTCAAAACATTAGGAAGCTAGTCAAAAAGTTTCACCCTTAAGAGGTGGAGCTTGCAGTGAGCGGAGATCGCGCCACTGCACTCCAGCCTGGGTGACAGAGCGAGACTCCGTCTCAAAAAAAAAAAAGTTTCGCCCTTAATTCTCTATTAAACACAATGTTAGGAGCATCAGTACCTGTATTGTGTCTAGCCCTTGACCTAAAGGTGAGATTCTTCAAGTATCTAAACCATTCCAGGTGGAGGCTTTGACTAGAGCCACAGGGTAAGTGGAATGATGGGGCATGGGGTCTGTGGAGGGAGTTGTGATGGCTCTAAATCATTGCTGCAAATTTTTTGACACTCCTCCCATCTAGAAGTGGCATCTAAGTCCCCACTCCTTGAATCTAGGTGGACATAGAGAGTATGGTGGAAGTGATGCCATGTGATTTCTAGGGCTAGATCATAAAAGATCATGCAGCTTCCTCCTTATTTACTGGAAGACTACTCTTGGAACCCTGAACTTCATGTAAGAATCTAGGTTGAACCATGCTATGAACTGAATGTTTGTGTTGCCCCCAAAATTCATATGTTGAAACCCAATCCCTAATGGAATGGTATTTGGAGATGGGACCTTTGGAAGGTGATTAGGTCCTGAGGGCAGAGCCCTCATGAATGGGATTAGTGCCCTTATGAAAGAGACCCTGGAGAGATCCTTTGCCCCCCTCTACCACATGAGGTTACAGTGAAAATATGGCTACCTCTGAACCAGGAAGCAGACCTCTATCAGACACTGAATCTGCTGGTAGGTTGATCTTCGTCTTCCCAGTCTCCAGATCTGTGAGAAATACCGTTTATGAGACACCTGAGTCTAGGGTAGTTTGTTATAGCAGCCTGAATGGACTAAGACACACCATCAGCAGAGCCACGTCGCCAACAGAACTGCTGTTGCCTCCATGATCTAAAAAGCCACTGGCTCTTAAATCATGTCACCACTGTCACAATTGGGAGTCCACCACAATCAGGAAGTCACTATGATCTGGTGACTGTTCCAGTCTCAGCATTATATTACCTTGCTGCAATCTGCACCAGCAAAGTGAACGCCCTGGACCCCACCTCTGATCACCTGCAACCAAGAGCTCTGTGGCCATGGTTATGAGCAGAAAGAGCAGGAGGGGAAGATGTTATGGCCCCTGGTTTGCTTTCATTTTTGTTTTTTTAGCATTCCAGGCTTTGTAGCATAAAAAAGCACGCTTAAAGTGGAATGGATGTTGAGTGCAAATCTGCAATATCATCATGATGTCTTTTTTCTTCTATAGGACTATAAGCAATTTACATAAGCACCTTAATATCCAATACCCCAAAGTATCCAGCAATTTTCAAGTCATTATTGAGATAAGGAAGGGGTGTTCCTGAGGGGGCAAAAAAGAGGGAAGAATCCCGAAGTCCTATATGCTGCATGCAAGTCTGCCAGGAAATGGAGCCCTCAAGGGTAGGATGATATGGTCTTAGTCTGGAAAAAGCTTCTGTTCTAGATATTCTCCATTTGCCCATCCTACTCCAGACCCACTCTTCACTCATCTCCACTATACCTTGTGCCCTGGGAAGCTGACCTCCACAGATAGCATCGCCTGGGTTCCTGTGCTCCCGACTTCTGGTTGGGCTTAGCCAGTGAGAGGCACCAGCAAAAGATCAGATAGCAAGGAGAGAGTGGTCAGCTTGTTCATTCCCTGGCTCCTTCTGTACCAGGCTATCATTTGGCTGTAGCTACTTTTCTCTACCTAATACTGCCACCCAAGTCAGAGCACTTGTCAGGTTAGCCCCAGGCCACCAGCAACAGCTCTTGCTGGTAACTGCCTTCCCTTACCCTTTCAGGGCCAGTAGTATTAACGACTTCCCATTGATTCTAGTCACAGAATGTAATTACCATCCTCCATCTTTACAAGAATACTGGTTACTGAGTGTGCTGTTTGTTTACTGCTTGAACACAGACTTCGGAATGATTGCTAGAGTCTCCAGAGATCATTTGCCCATGCATTCCACCACCTCTTGCACAGCACCATGCTTTACAGATCCCATGTTCCACCTAACTAGTCAGACTTTCTTCCTTGCATTGAAGCTGAGTCAGCTTCTTCAGGAGTGGTGCTCCCAGTACATGAAGTAGCTGTGGCTCGACATAAAGTGTCTTGAGAACAAGTGAACCGGCTTTGAGAGGACAATGGCTGCCATTGGTTGGATATGTGGTTCCAGGCATTCAAGTGCTCAATTTCAGTTCCTCACCTGTAAAGGGGAGAATAGCAACCACTGTCAGGATTGAATAAGGTTAAGTATGTAAAACAGCAGGGGTAAACAGCAGACAGCTTTACGAATACTAGCTATCACCTTTACCTTTCGGAAGCTTGGCACTCTTTCCATTTATCTCCACTATTACATTTTTCCTTCTGCTAATTAAGTTTCTTATTGGTAACAAATTGATGTTTTAATTAGTACTACAATCCTGGTGGTCTAAATCTTTGTTCCAGCAAGAAAGGAATGAGAAAAGAAAAAAAAGGCAAGGCTAGGGTGGCTAATAAAAAGTCATTTTCACTCCTGAAAAGAGAACACTGTGCCAGGGGCCCTAAACTTTCTCATTTATTAACTTGCGGTGGACAATTGGCAAAAAAAGTTTTACTGTGGTTTGTAACTTTGGTCAGTCAACAGAGCCTTTGGCCTTGGGCTGAAATAGATAGTTTAGAGTCATTGTGACAGAATGAAACCAGAGTAAAGTGTGGCCAATCTGCTGATTTCCATGGCACTTTGGGTCCCAGTTGTTCCAGATCTCTTCCAGATCTCAGACAGCTTTTAGGATTTCAGCTAAAAGAGTGGCCGGGACAGCTGGACAACCTGGCAGAGTTTTAATAGGTTTTGAATCCTGACTTTCCATTTTATTAAAGAAGCATTTAAAATATTTAGGGGGCTCTAATTACAACCAATAACAAAAGACATCTTAAAGAAGGCAAGCTTCATATAATTATAAAAGATTAAGGTTTTTAAAGAATTCACAGGACTAGAGAGAATGATGTAATTGTATGGGAAAGGTGAAGATTTGCTTACAAGATGCAGGTAAAATTTACCAAAATTCTTCAGGATATTATTAAAAAAGAGAAGGTCTACATGATGAATTATTCTAATATCATCAAATATTCCAAATCTAAACTGAGTCACAGCCAGGCACGGTAGCTCACATCTGTAATCCCAGTGCTTCGGGAGAACAAGGCAGGAAGATCTCTTGAGTCCAGGAGGTCAAGACCAACCTGGGCAACATAGTAAGACTCTGTCTCTACAGAACATTTAAAATATTAGCTGGGCATGGTGATGTGCACCTGTAGTTCTAGCTACTCTGGAGGCTGAGGCAGGAGGATCACTTGAGCCTAGGAGTTTGAGATTATAGTGAGCTACGATTGCACCACTGCACTCCAGCCTGGGTGACAGAGAGAGACCCTGTCTCTATAGACAAACACACACAGTCACATTTAAGCCCCAAACTAAAGCATGCCTGAACTAAAACCTATGGCATTAACTCTTCCATTATGGTAAGAATTTACAACTCAGTGACTAAACATAAACAGGCTCGAGGGAACAACGAGAAAGGTACCTGTCTGCTGACACAGCTATTTAAGGTACACATACCTGTAGGGAAGATGGTCCAAGCATTTAATAATTGGCATTGCTTGGCACAAGCACCAACCGGGTAGAGCAGACTTTACCATGATCTGCTATTCGGCTGAACCAGGGCACGCCACCTGAACAGCATCTCTGCCTACGTTCTATGCAACAGCTCTCTGCTCATCACCTGCAGTGGCTCCTCAGCCTATGACAAAACCATCCACCATTCACAGCACTCCACGTTTCCCAAAAATGAAGTCTTTTTTTTCCCCAAAAATGAAGTCTTTTTTTTCCCCAAAAAAGTCCAAATTCTTTAGCATTATTTTATTCTTCACTCTCTGTCTTCTCCATTCCACTACCAAAACCAACTTTGTAACTTCTTGGCAACTTGCAAGCAGATGGTTCTCCCAAGCAAGCAGAGAATACTGTCCTGAATTAAGAGATGCTGCCTTGAAGGGGGCAGCTGGCCTCAGTGAGTCATTGCTCCTGTCTCTTGAGGATGCAGCTCTCCTCACCTTTGAAAGGGTGATGAGGGCGTGGGCAGCTGAGCAGAATCAGGCCTGTTGAGACGTCTCTTACCACTCAAGCCTGGTTACACTGAACTCCATCCTGATCAGCCCAGTGAAAAATAAAAAACAAAGAGTTCCAGTCACCAAGGAGTTGGCAAGCTCAGCAGCAAGTAGGTTAGGTGGATTTATTTATTTGTTATTTATTAATTTTTTTTACTTGAGTGGCTTTTCTGGGCTTTCATAACCCGCTGCAGTTAGCTTTTGCTGTTCTTGCGCTGGATCGAAATCATTTCCTTAGACTTCTGTCTTTGCTGCTGCTACTCCTTAAGGGCAGGAGCTTTGTCTCATTCTTTGTTATATTCCCAGAGCCTAATCCAGTGCCAGGCATACCTGCCATGTACTCAGAAAAGATTTGTTGAGCAAAACAGGATTGGGCTTAGAGTAAAGAAAAAATTGCACTGTACTAAAACAGCCGTCTCTCTGGATCCACTTTGTGGTTAATCCAATATAAGAAAATGATAATTAGATTACATTTAATGTTTTATAATTATATATTTCTAGCCTAAGAATTTTAGTAGCTGGTGAGAATAAACTTGACGCCCACGGACTGAAGCTCTCAAAGCATACTTTTAGTATTATACATATAAACATGAATCAAAAGTAAACCAGCATTTAGAAAATATATTTTAAACTGCTTAGCATTCTCTTTTTAGAAATTATCAGCCAAGCATGGTGGCTCATGCCTGTAATCTCAGCACTTTGGGAGGCTAAGGTGGGTGGATCACTTGAGATCAGGAGTTCGAGACCAGCCTGGCCAACATGGTGAAACCCCATCTCCACTAAAAATACAAAAATTAGCCAGGCATGGTGGCGGGCGCCTGTAATCCCGGGTGGCTACTTGGGAGGCTAAGACAGGAGAATCGTTCGAACCCAGGAGGCAGAGGTTGCAGTGAGCTGAGATTGCACCACTGCACTCCAGCCTGGGACACAGCGAGATTGTATCTCCAAAAAAAATAAACAAAACAAAAACAAAAAACAAAAAAACCACAAAATTATCTATAAAATCATTTTCTTTACAAACAACAAAATAATCAGTTTAGTAAAAAAAAAATTTTTTTAGTGATCCTGGAATAAAGTTTCCCACAAATGAAAGTTATAACTTACTGGGGAGATAAATAGAGATGTGAATTACAGGAAACAGGTCATGTTCCTTCTATTAAAAAAAAACAAACAGCAATAAGTTTTTACTGTTTTCTCTTTTATTTTAAAAGGAACAACTTTTCCTTGATAAAACTTGGAAAAATATGGATAAGGGATTTAAAAAATCATCCTAATCTACATTCTATAAATAATCAATGCAGAGAGTTTGAGTATTTCTTTTTAGTCTTATTTCTATACATTCACATAATTATTACATGGTTGAGATTGTATTGTTTACATGGTTTCACATCTGGTTCCTTTTTTACTTAATGTCATAGCTTGAGCCCCATTAAAAAAATAAAACGGTGACACTGATACACTTTTGGACAAGACCATGTTTGGCCTTGCCTTTTTCATGTTGGTGAGTGACAAACTGACCATCTCACTCTTGTCCCAGTACCATTCCTGGGGTAGAGATGGGCTGGGCTTAGCAGTATAGTCTCTGGCTTTATGCACAACTGGGCCTTATTTTTAATGTATCTGGTTATGTCTCAAACACCTGACCAAATATTGCACCTTAGGAGGGGCAGGAGGAAGAGCAGTACCCAGAGGAAAGCAACAAATGTGGTGAAAGGGTCGTCTAAGGAAGGAAAGAACTGGGTTGCTTTCCCTGAACACAGAGGAGAATAGTAATAGTGAGTGGCCTGGCTCACTGGGAGTCATGACTGATTTGCTTTCACTACTCTGCTGGGTGTCTGCCTGGGCTCCTCCCACCCTCTCCACCTGCTGGGTCCCTGGGAGGCTGACCTGCAGGAGCGGCTCCACAGGCTCTCTTGCCCTGTGACTTCAAGCTGGGTTGGCCAGTGGGGAGCCCTGATGGGCTTAAGGAGAATGACACTGGTGTATTCACTCTCCAGCTCCCTTTCTGTGGAGTCACTGCAGGCTGGCTGTATCTCCCCACCAAAGGCCACACATGCCCCGTCATGCGCCCTCTCCATGGGGCCCTCTGACTCTGCCTCTGGTAAGCACCTTCTCCTCTTGTCCTGTCAGGTCTGGGATGGATGGGGGATAGAGGGGTGGTAGCAGTGCTTGTCATTACTAATTCTGGGCACTGCACTACTCTTTTCCCTACACTTTGACGATCTTTTAAATAGCCTTCTTTTAAACTCTTCAAATTATCCAATATGAGGGCACCCTTTATTTCCTGCCAAGATTCTGATAGAAATATTGAAACCACATGTCGCTCCTCCAAGGCTAGCATATTTCATTCAATATTCAGAATCCAACTATTACCTGAGTTTCCTCAGCAGGGTCATTTGAGGATAGTAAATGTATAAATGACCCATCTCCAGTTCCAGCAAGTGGCTGTTTCTAATGGCGCTGCTGCTGCTGGCGATGACGAACAGTAATGCCAGCTGCCGTCATGTACCCATTCAATGCCTGGGCCACATACCCTTCATGACTGGGCTTGATCCTCAGAACAAGTCATTAACAAGGTGGCTTTTGTTCCCACTTTAGAGTTGAGTAAATCAAGTATCTAGAAATTTAGACTAATGTGTGCACATCCATTGCCTCACCTCCTTTAAACCTTGACTCAAATGACATTTTCTCAGTTAAGCCTTTCCGGGCTACTCTAATTTTAACATTTCCCATGCCCCTTCCCTGCTTTATTTTTCTCCTCAGCATATCACTGGCTAATATACCTTTTTCTCCTCATTTGTCTTGATTAATGTCTATCTCACTCCACTTGAATGTAAGCTTCATGAAGACAGTGTTTTGTTTTCTGTTTTTTTTGTTGTTTGTTTTTATACGGTCTTGCTCTATTGTCCAGGCTGGAGTGCAGTGGCTCAATCACAGCTCACTGCAGCCTCGAACTCCTGGGCTCAAGCGATCCTCCCACCTCAGCCTCCCAAGTAGCTGGGTAGCTGGGACTATAATGCTCAGCTAATTTTTAAAAAGTTTTTCTTAGAGATGGAGGCCTTGCTTTGTTGCCCAGGCTGGTCCTGAACTCCTAGCTTCAAGTCATCCTCCTGTCTCACCCTCCCAAAGCACTGGGATTAGAGGTGTGAGCAACCATGTCTGGTGTTTTATTCACTGCTTTATCCCAGCACTTAAAATGATTCCTGGCACATAGTAGGTCCTGAGTGTGTATATATATATATACACACACACATATATATACACATATATACACATATATACATATATACACATATATACACATATATATACACATATATACACATATATATACACACATATACACACACACACACACATATATATATATATACACACACATATTTATTCAGGACCTACTATGTGCCAGGCATATATCAATCAATACATTATTATTGCTGGCACATAGTAGGTCCTGAATAAATATGTGTATATATATATATACACACATATATATATGTGTATATATATATATATACACATATATATGTGTATATATATGTATACACATATATATATGTGTATATATATGTATATACATATGTATATATGTGTATATATATGTATATACATATGTATATATGTGTATATATATGTATATACATATGTATATATGTGTATATATATGTATATACATATGTATATATGTGTATATATATGTATATACATATGTATATATGTGTATATATATGTATATACATATGTATATATGTGTATATATATGTATATACATATGTATATATGTGTATATATGTATATATGTATATGCATATGTATATATGTGTATATATGTATATATATGTGTATATATCTGTGTGTGTATATATGTATATACACACACACACGTATTTATTCAGGACCTACTATGTGCCAGGGATCATTTTAAGTGCTGGGATGAAGCAGTGAATAAAACACCAGACATGGTTGCTCACAACTCTAATCCCAGTGCTTTGGGAGGGTGAGACAGGAGGATGACTTGAGGCTAGGAGTTCAGGACCAGCCTGGACAACATAGCAAGGCCCCCATCTCTAAGAAAAACTTTTTAAAAATTAGCTGAGCATGGTGGCACATGCTTATAGTCCCAGCTACCCAGCTACTTGGGAGGCTGAGGTGGGAGGATCGCTCGAGCCCAGAAGTTCGAGGCTGCAGTGAGCTGTGATTGAGCCACTGCACTCCAGCCTGGGCAACAGAGCAAGACTGTATTAAAAAAAAAAAGAAAAAGAAAAAGAAAAAAACACTGTCTTCATGGAGCTTATGTTCAAGTGGAGTGAGATAGACATTAATCAAGACAAATGAGGAGAAAAAGCTATATTAGCCAATGATATGCTGAGGAGAAAAATAAAGCAGGGAAGGGGCATAGGAAATGTTAAAATTGGAGTATATATACATATTTATTCAGGACCTACTACGTACCAGGAATATATATATATAGCAATTCTCCTGCCTCAGCCTCCCAAGTAGCTGAGATTACAGGCGTGTGCCACCACACCTAACGAATTTTTTGTATTTTTTAGTAGAGATGGGATTTCAAGACCATGGCTGGTCTTGAACTCCTGACCTCAGGTGATCCATCCGCCTCGGCTTCCCAAAGTGCTGGGACTACAGCTATGAGCCTCCGCGCCTGGCCTTGAATAAATATTTTTAAATGAATGGATGATAAAGTCAGAATTCAGAGTCAGGTCTGTCTACCTTGAAGGTCTTTGTTTTTCTACAATATCCTCCTTAGCTAGTCACAAGCAATGTAACTAGATAACAGCCTCCAAGAGAAAACACAATAGCATTATTTTGTACTAGATGTAACCATTATGCAACCTGTTATGACTGTAACATGAGACCACTAATGAAAAAAAACAAAATGATGCTGACATATTTGTTTTTAAAAATGCGTTTACTACCAAGACAACGAGACATATGGTAAGACCATGTGGGCTTTCACAGAAATGAGGAACCATTTGGAATGGAGAAGAAAGAATATTGAGCAATGGATTTTGGTGCAGATAGCAGCCACTCACTATTGACTCAGTGAAGGTGCAGGTGCTCATGGAGTGAATAGAAGCTTTCTTCAGGGTCAGAAGAGACAGATGACATAGGCATGCAAGTTGAGAATGCATGGCCAACTGGTGGGAGCATGGGTCTGGAAGAGGCAGACATTCTGGAACTGAATCCTGAATGTTGCCTTTTCCTTGGACTTTGAGTGCTTTATGCTTCATTTCCCATGGTACTTAGGAAAGGGGGAAGGAATAGTAATGACTGAACAGATTGGTGGTAAGAAATACATTCAGCGGCGGCTGGGCACAGCGGCTCACACCTATAATCCCTGCACTTTGGGAGGCCAAGGTGGGTGGGTCACGAGGTCAAGAGATCGAGACCATCCTGGCCAACATGGTGAAACCCCGTCTTTACTAAAAATACAAAAATTAGCTGGGTGTGTTGGTGTGCGCCTGTAGTCCCAGCTACTGGGGAGGCTGAGGCAGGAGACTCACTTGAACCTGGGAGGTGGAGGTTGCAATGAGCCGAGATTGCGCCACTGCACTCCAGCCTGGTGACAGAACGAGACTCGGTCTAAAAAAAGAAAAGAAAAGAAATACATTCAGCAGCAAGTTGCAAAGTCCTTGCTTTCCAACTGTGGATATTCCAGAGAGATCAATGATTACCTGGTGACTAGAGCATAGGCTGTGGCCTTAGACACACATGGGTTTACCTGCTTGCTCCACCACTCACCTTGACCTTGAGAAAGCTACTTAACCTTGCTAAGCATCAGTTTCCTTGGTTACATAATTGGATAATAATAGTATTGATTTCATTGTTATAAAGATTACAGGAGATAACCCTTGCACCTAGCACAGAAGAGGTGCCCAATAAATAAGTGTTCAAAATCACAGTTATGTTGGACTAATAACTGGATTTGGATGGAGTCAAATTGCTGACCAGAGGGAGTTACCACTCTCTCCAGCATGAGGTCTCCTGTCATTACAGGGAAGGGTAATAGTGATAGAGGACCTCAGGAACTTATCCCACCCAGGATCTGGGACCTCTGACATCACTAGGTAACAGTTTTTCCTTCTCATAGAAAGCGGGTAGAATTAAAAGACTGGACTATTTGTTCAAAGTTCTCTGGGTGCCGCTTCCCAGAGAAAGGCTCTATTTTGCCCAAAATCTTCTTAAAGATTGTGCCTGCTTGTGGTTTAACATTGCTATTAGAAATATGTAGAAGCTTGCCCTTTGGCATCCCAAACGACATAGGAAAATTATGAGTGATTGTCACAAAGGGCCTATAATTTATTCCCTGAAAAAAATAATAAAATGACTGAGAAGACGCCTCCCACCTTAGGAAATGCAGCCCACCAGGACTGCTGGACTCATCAGCAATGCATGAACATGCCCTCTCTTTTCTACCCCCAAGAATGTAGACATTACCTACTAGCCACGTGAGGGTATTTAAATTTAAATTGATTTAAAAATATTAAAAAGTCAGCTCTTCAGTGGCATCGACCACGTTTCTAGTGCTCCATAGCTGTATGTGGCTAGTAGATACCATATTGGATTCTGCAGATATGGAATATTTCTATCATCATGGAAGGATCTACTGGATTGTGCTGTCTAGTGGGTAATGCCAGCTCAAGGCTCAGAGTCATTCAGACAAAGTAAAAAGCTTCATTTTCAGACCAGCGTTGCAAGTGGTAAGGAAAAATTGAATATTGCTTAGCATGGAATATCATGGAGAAAATAAGAGACCAGAAAATCTTTTCAACCGGACTCTAAGTGTCCTCAAACTTCCATGTCACTGCGATTTTTTTAAAAGTGTGATCCAATCTAGAGAGAGCATTGTGCCTGCATTTTGCCACATCTTAAAATAATGATTCAAATCTTCTCTAAAATATAATTTTATTGTAGAACTGTAAGTCAAGCAAACACTTAGAATCCTGAAGAACCCTCACTCAGGTCCTTACTGAAGGCTCAAACGCTGTGTCTCAACTAAGGCAAAAGAGGTTTTGGAGATTTTTAATGAAACAGGGCCCTGGCTCTAGAGGCCTGGGTACCTCACATGACTCAGATCACCACCTACTACCCTGACACCCCTCTCCCTTATGTCTTCTTCCCCCCAAACACATTCACTCAGCCATCTCTAACCCTTTCTATTCCACTTCCTGTGTTGCCTCCCAACCTCTGCCCCGGTCATTGGTCATTGGTATTGGTCATTCTCAGTCAATTCAAGCTCCTGTGATGGATGAGGGATGGGTCAAGTAGGGTGGAAGGTCCTTAAAACCTTGAAAAGTGGGCCGGGCAAGGTGGCTCACACCTGTAATCCCAGCACTTTGGGAGGCTGAGGTGGGTGGATCACCTGAGGTCAGGAGTTCGAGATCAGCCTGGCCAACATGGTGAACCCCCATCTCTACTAAAAATACAAAAAAAATGAGCCGGGCGTGGTGGTGGGCACCTGTAATCCCAGCTACTCAGGAGGCTGAGGCAGGAGAATCGCTTGAATCCAGGAGGTGGAGGTTGCAGTGAGCTGAAATCACGACATTGCACTCCAGCCTGGGTGACAAGAGCAAGACTCTGTCAAAAAAAAAAACAAAAAACCTTGAAAGATGAATGGAGCAAGAGAGTCACAGAGGCCCCTGTGGCAGTCTGATTGCAGGACCACGGAATAAAGCATCTAAAAAACAACCTGAGCTTTTGCACACAGTGAAAAACACAAACACAAAAACAAAACCTCCTACTAGCATTTTCGTATTATGCTAAGAGTCGTTGTCTCCTTCTTGGTTTCGAGTTAAATTTTAAACAGCTCTCTCTTATTACTTTAGGCTCAGTAGCTGTTGAGCATTAGGAAAGCAGACATAAAAAGACTTGTTCTGCCACACTGGCAACCTTGAATAGCCCACAGGCTCACAAGGCTAGGCTATATCATCAGTGCCAAATAAAATGAGAGAAGTTTCTAAATATAAGCAAGAAGAGTCTTCAAATATCCAAGAAAACAAGAATGATCTTATTTCCAAAGGAAATAATGTAGGGTGGTTGCCCCTGCAGTTTAGTTAAAGGGCTAGTAAATTCCCCAAGTCAGTATTTGTGAAGCTCTTTACATTTCTTAGAAAAAAAACAGCCCAGTGATCCCTCAAGTTAATATCATCCCATTGTGCAGTTTACATTCCTCGCACAGTGTTTCCACTGCTCTGGAAAAAGCCTACTGTGGCCCAGTGGTTTTCAGAATCTGCAAAGCTATGAAAGCTGCTCTTAAATGAAATCTGACAAGAAGCCTGATATGTAAAAGAGACGGAAGTGAAGCTGCTCTGGTTGAAGGAGGAAGGAGGCCCAGGCTGTCACCTCGGAGTCCCTACGGAACCTGGAGGGCTTGTGGAGCACCATTCGAGCTTCACTACCCCATATGGACTTATTAGAAACCTCACACTGCACATTTCAATGTCAAAGATGCTCGGGTTGGGGAAGATTATCATCTGTCACTTTCAAAAGAAGTTTGTAAACGATGCTGCAAGCAATTACTTCAAGGACCAAGCAAATTCAAGGATGCTGAGACTAAAAAGAATTATTCATCCACATTTAATATTTGTCTGCCACACTCATGCAAAAGAGTGAATTCTTTGCAGCTTTAGTGTTATTTTAATAGGTTATTGCTATTGCTTTTACCTTTATGGCATGAGAGGGCTTCTGTACCTGTACAGACCAATGTCCAGAAGTCCAGTAAGTGACAACATGAAAGAATAAAGCAAACATTTCATTAAAACTTTTTTCTTTTTCCTTTTTTTATTGAGGTAAAATAAACATGAAATTTACCATCTTTACCATTTTTTTTTCTTTTTCTTTTTGAGACGGAGTCTCACTCTGTCGCCCAGGCTAGAGTGCAGTGGTGAGATATCAGCTCACTGCAACCTCCACCTCCTGCGTTCAAGGATTCCCCAGCCTCAGCCTCCTGAGTAGCTGGGATTACAGGCACCCGCACCACACCCAGTTAATTTTTGTATTTTTAGTAGAGATGGGATTTCGCCATGTTGGCCAGACTGGTCTCGAACTCCTGACCTCAGGATCCACCCACCTTGGCCTCCCAATGTGCTGGGATTACAGGCATGAGCCACCCAACCTGGCCTCATCTTTACCATTTTTAAACATACAGTTCTGTGGTAATAAATCCACTTAGAATCTTTTTCCCTTTATTTTCCTCTCCTGCAAAGGTCTCATTTTCAATTTACAAAACATTTTACAAATTATTGCTTAAAGATGATCACATTCTAAATTTTTATTTTGCGATGCATAGCATTTTGGTGCTAGGAGAAGAAAAAGAAGATATTGGTGTCAGGGGCAGCTACAGGACAATAGGGGAAAAAAGAAAGAAAATTTTCAGGGGAGATTTTTGGTGTTCTTAGAGGTGGCTTT
This sequence comes from Homo sapiens, assembly GCF_000001405.40. Classification (NCBI taxonomy): domain Eukaryota; kingdom Metazoa; phylum Chordata; class Mammalia; order Primates; family Hominidae; genus Homo; species Homo sapiens. The sequence goes on along the minus strand of NC_000012.12, from coordinate 69,035,634 downwards.
CATGCCCTGTAAAGATTGCTCGGGTCTTTTCTATATTCCTTTACATTTTAAATGACAACTGAAAAAGTTTTGTTCTTTCTTAAGATGTCAACTTATAAATCTTATTGTTGCATTTATTAATACAAATCTAGAAGAGTTCAATAATCACATTTTAGCCTTTACAGCTTAATCTTTTAAGCATTTAAAATTATACTTATAATTTTAATATAAATAAATTTTTTTGCCTTAGTTGGTTATCAAATGAACTTTATTGTATATTTATATAATTCTTGTACATCTAATTAAATTTACAAAGATGGTTAAACTTAAGTTCTTTTAATTATTCCATTATTGCTTGTAATCCAAGTAAAATTATCTTATTCCTCTGAAGTCTAAATCAACCCAATTAACTCTTTCTAAATTGGAATCACAACTTGCTAGATTCCTTAAAATGCCAAATTCTTAAATACTGCAAGCACTTAGAATACAAGAAAAACACAGATTATTCTAAACTTAACATGGAAGTATAAATAATTTGAGTTTTATTTATTTCATCATTTTTCTATTTAATAATAAATCTTTTCAATGAGAAAATAACGTCAGCCCAAACCATAGCTGATGTTTTTGACCCAGTGCACTGAGCTTCTTAATTGTACTCAGAAAGCTCCTGTCCAGACCACAGGATTCCATCCTTTTATTTAATTCTAATGGGTCACATGAAGCCCAGATCCTTTTAATAGTGACCATAATGAGCTTCTATAATTTTCAAAAAGGGTGGGTGTCCTAGACCATCCCCTTGAGTTTAAATCATATTATTACCTAATTGTCTTTATTATTGGAAATCTGTAAGTCCATTAAAATTGTAACTAACTCTTGTACTTCTTTGGGTCTTCTAAAATAGAAATGTTATTTTATTTAATTCTTCTTGCCGTGAGGATTGGTCTAATTAGTCACAAATAAAATCATGCTGATAACAAATAATAAAGAAAAGGACTGTGGAATTAAATACAATTTTATAGAAAAGGTTTGAGCCCAAAAAGAGAAAATACAATTGCAGATGAAGGAAATAACTAAAAAGTTAGTTAAGTGGGCATTATTTAAGACCTTTTTTGTTTTTGTTTTTCGTTTTTTTTGTTTTTTTTTTTTTTTTGGAGACAGGGTCTTGCCGTGTCACCCAGGCTGGAGTGCAGTGGCAATCTCGAAATCTCGGCTCACTGCAACCTCCGCCTCCTGGGCTCAAGCAATTCTCCTGCCTCAGCCTCCTGAGTAGCTGGGATTACAGATGCACGCTACCATGCCTGGCTAATTTTTGTATTTTTAGTAGAGACGGGGTTTCACCATGTTGGCCAGGCTGGTCTGGAACTTCTGACCTCAGGTGATCCACCTGCCTCAGCCTCCCAAAGTGCCAGGATTACAAGTGTGAGCCACTGTGCCCAGCCTCTATTTAAGACCATTTAAACTAGGTGTATCATCTGGTGGGATTGTAAACATAGAATAAAGGATGAAGAAAAAGAGAATTTAATTCCAGATGTGCCATTAATTACTAGAAACAGTTTTGTCAACACTGCTAAATATTTAGCTACATAAATTTATAGCTCTGTCACCTGAGCCTGAATAAATCCAAACAGGAAAGTCCTCTGGGTTGTTATTAGAAAATCCAGGTCACTATTTAGAGTACATAAACTCTACTATTTAGAGTTTTGCCACAGACGGATTTCATGAGAAAGTAAACATTTTGACCAGCCTGGCTAACATGGTGAAACCTCATCTCTACTAAAAGTGCAAAAATTAGCTGGGCGTGGTGGTGGGTGCCTGTAGACCCAGCTACTTGGGAGACTGAGGCAGGAGAATCACTTGAACCCAGGGAGGCAGAGGTTGCGGTGGGCCAAGATTGCACCACCGCACTCCAGCCTGGGTGACAAGACTGAGACTCCATCTCAAAAACAAAACAAAGACAAAAGAGTAAACATTTTATGCATTTAATGTATCCATTTTATTCATCTACTTATTTATGTATATTAGTTACTGCTCTTACCCCAAACAATCAGTGGTTGAACACAGCATAAGTTTAATGCACAATCATCTCATGGAATAGTCCAACGTAGGTTGGAGAGGGGTTAGACTCTCTTCCCCACTGTCATTCAAGGACCCAAACTTCTTATATTCAATGTCCTCTGTTGAATCTCTGAGTTCTGCCCAGCAAATGGGAGTAGGGAAATCACATGGCAAACTCTGGGAGAGGTTTTATGGGTCACCTTCCTGACTTCTACCTGTCTCCTTTTAGTCAGAACTCAACCACGTGGCCCCACCTGCCTGGAAGAATGTCTACTGGATCCAGGAGGAAAATAGAACAGCATGGTGAACACCTAGCCAGTCTGCCACATTATAGCATAGCTGTAGACTAATACTTAGGGTTTCATTCTGTAATTAAATCAAATAGACAAAGTTTATCATCAACATACAAATTGATGTGGTAAAAGAAAAGTGAGTATAATTTTATCACTCATGAAGGTCATGCCACAGACAGATAAGTAATGATGTTCACAACTGCTTGCAAGTTGAGACTAACTACAACATTGAAATAGATGCTGTGAAAGTGAACTTTTTTTTTTAAAGAAGACAGTTATGGTCAAATTTTCAAATACAAAATTTTTAGTAGATCACCATGATAACTTGATCAGAGTTCATCTTCATATAATGCTTCACTTTATGAAGTATGGGTTTATAAGAAGGGAAATAATTTACTATGCCTTATGTTTAGTGTGAAGAATGGAGGAGGGAGACATGGAAGATGTGAAGGCTACTACCTGATATTTCTTGGTCTGAATCAGGCCTGGAAATGAGGAGAGGAAGGATATGGGAGGTTGGTAGAGATGCTCTGAGGGAGTGACAGAGCCATTGTGAGGTTTCTGGGTTTCTGCTATAAGACACAAGGAGGACAACAACATCATTGGTTGTGATGGGGGGCTCTGGAGAACTGGGTAGAAAAAACAAGGTTTAGTTTTTTAAAACACGATTTTGAGATTTCACAACATAGATAAGTGATGAAAAGCATGAGTTTGTGGCCAGTAAGACCTAGTTTTGAGGCTCTGATGCACCACTTGCTAGCTCTGAGAACTTGGACATATTAACCTCTATAACTATCTGTAAAATGTGGATAAGACCTATCTCAAAGAGATGTCATCATAATTAAAATACCTATTTTTCTCACTAAAATTTAAGGTTTGTGAGGCTGGAAACCTCTTTCTTACTCATTGTTATATTCCTGCCACATGCTAAGCTCCCGGTATCAGATAGTTTTATGATTTTAATAAGTTTACTATTATCATTATCCATGTAAATATATCTAGAAGGTAGCCAATAATTAAAGCTTATAATTCAGGAGCAGTGCTCCCCTGAGACACACAAAAGAGGGGCCCTTGCCTTGGGCCTGGGTTTCAGAGCAGTGCAATTCATGAGGTGGTCCAGGGACCAGTCAGTCCACAGGTGGCCTGTTACTAGGTCACATGAAATAAGCACAGAAACTGAGAGTAAGCATTTAGAAACTTTTGTACCAATCTGACATTGGTTCATCGTCTCATTAAATAGGGTATAGGCCAGCTATCGTATGGTCAAATAGAGTACTGAATCACACATGATGTAGATTCCATACTGTTATGGACAATACAACTGCTTTTCAACATGTGATATATTCAGGTTAGTCACCTATAACCTAAAGGTAAAATATAAATAGATGAAAGCATTTCTTTTTAAGTTTTTTAAAACTTATTTTTAAATTTACAAATAAAAATATATTTAATTGAAAGTATTTCTTTATTTTTATAACTTATTGTTTATATCATTTTAATATTAATCAAGCTAGTCTTTAAAATATATATATATATATATTTGGCTGAGCATGATGGCTCATGCCTATAATCCCAGCACTTTGGGAGGCCGAGGCAGGCAGATCACTTGAGGTTAGGAGCTCAAGACCAGTCCGGCCAACATGATGAAAGCTTGTCTCTACTAAAAACACAAAAATTAGCTGGGTGTGGTGGCACATGCCTGTAGCCCCATCTACTCAGGAGGATAAGGCAGGAGAATCGCTTGAACCCAGGAGGTAGAGGCTGCAGTGAACCGAGATCACGCCACTGCACTCCAGCCTGGGTGACGGAGTGAGATTCCATCTCAAACAAACAAACAAAAAAAGTATATATATTTAACCTCATAGCTAAAGTAAGAATATAAACTTTATAAAATTTATTTTTAACCCTAATTGGCAAATTGGGAAACAAGTTTTACAAGATTTCTTTTTCAAGAATCAACACACATTGCAAATGTTGTAGTTGTAGTAAACCAAATGACAATGGAAGTTGATTCTGAAGAAATAGAGACCAAAAAAGTTCATACTCATTTTATTTGGATGTATAATTTTCATGTGTTGAGTTCACTTTGTAGTCATCATTGATGATAAAATGCTAAAACTATAGTGTATTATTCATAGCACTTTACTGACTAATGAAGCAATGAAACCATTAAAATTTAAGTGGCATTTGCATACCATATGTAAAAAATAAGAGCAAAATCAAAAGAATTCTTTGAAAGAAGGAGTACTGATTTTAAAACCTGACAGAAGCAGATGTTAACTATTTCACATGAAAGAAACTTTGCAGGCTTCTTATAAAGTAGTATTTGGGATTGCTAAGATCAAACATATATACAATTGCCAAGACATGAATGCAAGACTGCATGCATCAAAGATATTGGCTTAAAAATGTTGGGTGATACTGTGCAAGAGAAGTAGCTCAAATGCCATTTTCTAGTGAAACTATAGCTCAACATATTTGGGAATTGGCTAGTGATATGGAAGGTTAACTCACAGGGAAAAAATGAAATTAGCAGAATATTTCTCATTGCAACTAGATGAATGCACAGATATAGTTATGGCCATTCGGTTATTATATGTATGATTTCAATGTGATCGCTATTGGAAGAAATAGTTCTTTTATTTTTTTAGCCTCACAGCCAATAAATACAACTGTGAATTGTATAAAACTATAAAGGATTCCATTGTTCATAAATGTGTCTGGAGTTTAGGATTTTGTGTAGGATTATATTCTGATGGCACAGCTGCCATGACTGTAAAACATTCTGGATTAGTTACCCAGTTTAAGGAACTTGTGCCAGAATGTAAATCAACATTCTGCTTCGTTCATCAAGAAAGAAGTCAGCTGAACATAGGCTGGTCTCAATTCATGAGCCTGAAATGCCTTTCATAGGAAGATAATTTAAATTTCATTATAATTTTAGAAGGTAAGTTATTGGAACTGGCTACTGATGAAGGACTGAAGATGAATTTTGCTCCATTTTGTATAAAAATCAAAAATGAATGACCTGAGCTTGCTGAAATTACTCTGAAATATCTTATTCCATCCACCCATCAAAATACCCCTGTGAGACCGATTTTGTTACAAAGCATGAAAACAGTTTAGATATATGTTATTACCTATAAGCGGTATTTTATCAACTCAACCAAGATTGAACAGGTAATAGGCAAACTCATTTGTCACATTAAAACTCTTAAATATTGACATGAATGGTGCTGTGTGCTATAGACATCTAATACTTGGGAATTCTATCTTATTCATAAAGTTTTGTTTAGTTATGACCATGGAGCAATCAAAGTTATGAAGAGGGTAGTGATTGCACATGTTAATTATCTGTACACACACAACAGCAATGTCGATTTTGTGATTTTTTCTCTTTTATGTTTTTATTATATTTATGGAAATGTTATTTTATGCCTAACAATAAGAAACATGGATTTGTATTTTGTATGTCTTTGTTTTTATTTCACTTTTTTAGCAATTCTTTTTTTCTTTTTCTTTTTGAGAAGGAGTCTTGCTCTGTTGCCCAGGCTGGGCTCACTGTAGCTTTGACCCCCCAGACTCAGTCATCCTCTCACCTCAGCCTCCAGAATCGCTGGGACCACAGGTACGTACCACCATGCTGCCTAATTTTTTTTAAATTTTTTTGTAGAGACGAGGTCTTCCTATGTTGCCCAGGCTGATCTCAAACTCCTGGGCTCAAGCAATCCTCCTGCCTCAGCCTTCCAAAGTTTTGGGATTACAAGTGTGAGTCACCGTGCCTGGCTACTATTCATTTTGTTGCAGTAAAAAAAGTGTTGATCTGTAACAGATAGGAAGTCAAAAAACAGGGGGAAAGATCTTTCATGCCAAATTGAAAAACGCTGCTTTAGAGGGTCAGTCTAGTGCAAGGGGTCTGTGGGGCCAACAGAGCATGCTTACCCAGAGCCCATGGTCAGCATTCCCAAAGAATCCCAGCCCCAGAGGCCCGAGTCTTCCTGGGAGGCCCATGCAAGTTTCTCCCCTGGGAGCACATGCTAGGGGTGAATGGTACCACCAGTGTGCAAAGCCCAGAGCCTAGAGTGTTTGTGGGATGTGTGAGTAGAGCTGGGAAGCGCAGGCTGTGTGTGCACAAGGCCTTTCACAGTGTGCAGGGGAAGGAGGGGGCAGTCCAGGGGCAAGAGCCAGCTTGTTCAATGCCGCTGTGTTCCAGCATGAACCCCACAGAGTCCAAGAAGCCTAAATTTAATCCGTATTGTTAAGAAGATATATTTGTCAAGCAGGATAATAGAATGTACTTAACAGTTGATAGTTTCACTTATAACTTTAAAAGTTTCAGACATTTAGAATGCGAGCTCCGTTTTGGTTTTTGTATGAGCCCCATAAATGTTAGGAAAGAACCTGTCCAGGAGTTACATCAAAACTACAGCCATAGGTCAGGGGTGGTGGCTCACACCTGTAATCCCAACACTTTGGAAGGCCAAGGTGGGAGGACTGTTTGAGGCCAGGAGTTTGAGATCAGCCTGGGCAACATAGTGAGACCCCATCTCTACTAAAAATAAAAAAAGTTAGCCAGACCTCATAGCATGTCCCTGTAGCCCCAGCTACTCAGGAGGCTGAAGTGGTAGGATCCCTTGAGCCCGGGAGTTCGAGGTTGCAATGAGCTATGATCACGCCACTGCATTTCAGCCTGGGTTACCAAGGGAGACCTCATTTCAAAGATAAAAACGAAGCAAAGCAAAACAAAACAAAACAAAACAAAAATAACTGAAGTCATAGATGGAGCAGTCAGCATGGAGGAGATATTTGAAGCTGAGGGAGAGGCAGTAGAGTGTAAAGAGGGCAAGTTCTACATTCAGACTGCCTGGTTCTAATCCCAGATCGGCCACCTACTAGCTGTAGTACTTAGGGCTACCTTCTGTACCTTGATTTTCTCATTTGTGAAATGGAGATGTTAATAGCACCTCATGGGAATGTTTCAAATGTCCAGTGAGTTCATCCATGTGAAGCACTTAGAACAGGGTGGCATAGAGTAAGCTCTCAATACCAAGCAAGTGGGTAAATAACCTGCAGAAGGAGCACAGAGCAAGAACAGAAGATGCTCAGGGAAGCCTTGGAAAGAAAACCTAGAGATGCATGGAGGGCAGACAGTGTCCCCAGCACCCAGTGCAGTGCCAGGCAGGTGGCAAGTGCTCAGTAACTGTGGATGGATTTGTAAAGGATCCTGGAAAGGAGACTGAGAAGGAGCACTTAACACACCAAATGAAGCAGAAAGGTCAAATGATGGGAGCCCTTAGATTCCTAATCAGGAAATACCTTTAAAAGGACATTTCAATTCACAGAAAGTCAGATGGCAGTAGATTAAAGAATAAGTACGTAGGTACTTCTCTTTTTAGTTTAGCTTAGTAACTCTAGTGGAAGCTACTCTTTTTAAAGAGTTGACAGTGAAGGGAAGAAAGGGATAAAATAGTAGCTGGAGGGGGATGGAAGGTTGAGAGAACTTCCTTTTATGTTAGAGGAAATATGGGCAGACATGCTGCTAAGAGAAAGGAACCAGCGGAGAGGAAGGGATGATTAATGGAGCAAGAATCTAGGAGAAGGAGGGGAGAAAATGGAATCAAGAGAAAAAAGCATAGGAGTCAGTCTTATAAAAGAATGCCATGCCTGAGGTGAAAGGAAGCAGGATGATCGATAAGGATATAGAGAAGTATTGAGGCATAATAAGTTGAAGAAATTCTTTCAGTTCATGCAGGGGAACTTGCATTACTGGAAGAGCAAATACACATAGCTGACTAATAGGGAGCATATTCCTTTACCCATTGTGGTGAGACTCTAAAGAGGCTCACGCACTGTAGCCTCTGCCTAGCTTGTGTCCCTATTCCATGGAGCGGTAGTTGGCAAACTACAGCCTACGGGCAAGATTTAGCCTGCTGCCTGTTTGTGCACAGCCCCTGAGCTAGGAGTATTTGCTTTTTTTTTAAATTGTGATAAAATATACATAACATAACATTTACCATGTTACCCACTTTTAAGTGTACAATTCAGTGGAATTAAGTAAATTCACAGTATTATGTGACCATCACCATTATCCATTTCCAGAATGTCGTCATCCCAGACAGAAACTCTGTATCTATTAAACACCAACTCTCCATTCCCGTCTTGTCCCAGCCCCTGGAAACATCTATTGTACTTTCTGTCTCTATGAATCTGCCTATTCTAGGTACCTCATGTAAGTGGAATGATACAATATTTGTCCTTCTGTGTCTGCCTTGTTTCACTTAGCGTAATGCTTTCAAGTTTCATCCATGTTGTAGCATTTATCAGGATTTCATTTCTTTTTATGGCTGAATAATATTCTATTGAGTGTATACACTATACTTTATTAATTCATCTGTTGATGAAGGTTTGGGTTGTTTCCACATTTTGGCAATTGTGAATAATGCTGCTGTGAAAGTTGGGATGTAAGTATCTAATTGAGTTCCTGCTTTAAATTCTTTGGGTTACATACTATATTAGTCCATTCTCACACTGCTGTAAAGAACTACCCGAGACTGGGTAATTTATGAAGCAAAGAGGTTTAATTGGCTCACAGTTTCTCAGGTTGTTCAGGAAGCATGGTTTGGGAGGCCTCAGGAAACTTACAATCATGGTGGAAGGGCAAAGGGGAAGCAAGCACCTTCTCCACATGGCAGAGCAGGAGAGAGAGAGAGCCAAGGGGGAAGTACTACACACTGTTAAACAACCAGAGAACACATTGACTATCATGAGAACAGCAAGAGGGAAGTCCGCCCCCATGATTCAATCACTTCCCACCAGGCCTCTCCTCCAACATGTGGGGATTACAATTCAACATGAGATTTGGGTGGAAACACAGAGCCAAACAATATCACATCCCTGGGAGTGGAATTGTCAGATCATACAGTAATTCTTGAGAAACAGCTAAACTGCTTTCCACAGCAGTTGCATCATTTTACCTTCCCACTAGCAAGATCAAGGGATTTGATTTCCCCACATCTTCATAGTACTTGTTATTTTCTGGGTTTTTAAAAATTAGGATGGCTGCTAATGAGTAGTCATGCTAACAGATATGAGGTGAGATCTCGTTGTAGTTTTGATTTGCATTTCCGCATTGGCTAGCGAGGTTGAGCATCTTTTCTTGTGCTTATTGGCCGTTTGTATGTTTTCTTTAGATAAATGTTTATTCAAGTCCTTTGCCCATTTTTAAAGCAGGTTGTTTTGTTATTGTCATTGTTGTTGAGTTTTAGGAGTTTTTTATACATTTTGTATATTACTCTCTTATCTGATATGTGATTTGCAAATATTTTTTCCCATTCTGTGGGTTGCCTTTTCACTCTTTTGACAGTATATGTGAGAGTTTGAATTATCATAACAACTCGTATGTGAGTTTATGTGTGTTAGATGTGAGCTACCTAATACTCCTTCAATAAAACTCTTCCTGCCTCAACAGTTAGGGTGGCCTCTGTTGTCTGCAATCAAGAACTCTGATTGATACATTCAGTGAAGACAATTATATTATACTTGGCAATATTTCCTTAAAAGGTAGTGTTTTATGAGAAACCCTTAATTTCAATTGGGACTTTTGTACCAATGTTTATTGCTCCTAACCTTCCAATGTTTGTAAAACTGGTTTAATAGAATTTTTATGTCACAAAGGGGGTACAATGAAGATTATAAAACTAATAGATGAAATCTAGACACAAAAAAGTAAAACTCTGAATAAGAAACCATAACTGAAATGGCACATTTAATTGTAGGAGTTTAACTCCGCATACACTCGATTTTGCTGCAACTGGACAAGAAAGAGATACATTTCTGAGAAAAAAGCAAAGAAAATCAAGTCCCAGTAGTCTAAGTTTTTAGAGCAGAAATCCTAAGAGTATCTCAAAAGAAGCGAGATTGTTGATCATGGAAGTGATTGATTATCATGAGGTTAACACACCTTGGAGGAGATGGAGATAAGCAGGTAGAGAAGGAGGTAAATGCTCCAGGCCCAAGGTAACAATTCAGGATTCTAATCTCAGTTATTTCACTTACATGCTGAGTAAGTTATTCATTCAGAGCTGCTCCTATTAATTCCAGCCAATGATTATACTCTTAAAAAAACAAGGTGCGCAAATTAGAATGCTTGCTTTCTTGTTATTTATGCATGTTCTCTGTCTATCCCACACAGCCATGTGAGTAATAGTGACCTCATCACAAAAAAGAAAAAAAGAAAAAAAAACTCGCATAAACTCTGCTACAGGAATGCACGTGTTTTTCGGACCCAGACTTTTTTTTTTCCTGTTTGATTTATCTCTCTATTATTGGAGATTTTACTTTTTCTTCCTGGTTTGCACATGCTGGTCTTATCAAGAGAGAAGTACTTCTGTCCCATGTTCACCACTTCCATAGAAACAATTCTCTCCAATCTTTCTAATATGAGAAAAGCTGGAAGACAGAAATGAAAAAAACAATTTAAATTGGAATAAAGATTTTTGTTTTTTTTAAAAGCGCACATCCACTTCAGCTGACAAGATGATTCCTGAAGAAATCAGAACAGACAAAGAAGCAAGACAGAGAGAATAGGTAAGCTAGTATTAAGTGAAAGGTTGACAGGGAAGTCAGTTCTCTTCGGAGCAAAGCACACCCTGGCAGAGATGAGCGGGCGTTTAACTCTCCAAGTCCACACCCAGTGGAGTGCGTCACCCAGGCTCTTACCTTTCGTAGCTGAAGAACGCCTTGTGCAATGACCTGTGCCACAGCCAGCTAATGACATGCAGCATCAGGCATCTGAGAAATAATTAACTGCCTGCCCTTCATTTTCAGCCTACAATTAGACAACTGTGGCTGCAATTGTGTGTGCAGTTTTCCAACAACAAATAATTGTGGCTAAAGGCATGCTTGCATTGTGAAAGGGAGACATAATTGGGACCCCCCTTTAATAAGTTAGTACCTAAAATGTAAGCAAGTATATAATTTGGCTAGTGGAAAGACAACCCTGACTTTTTTTAATTACATTTTTATATTTTAACAAATGCTTTCCCTAGCCCATTTGCAGACCTCACTGCAGCATTGTTGGCATAGAACAATCATAATTAAACTATAAGTAAGAAATGCCACATCACAGATGAACCAACACTGAATCCTAGCAGACTGTAGGGTACCCTGTATTCATTGCAGAAGAGGCACCAATAAAGGCCCAAAAAGCAAAGGACGCAAATTATTTCATTCTACTTGAAATATTAACAGAGTCAACCGCAGGGCACCCAGCACAGTGCCCAACACGTGGAAGACACACATGTCTCTAATTGATGCTGTGTTGAGTCCCCTTCCTTGTGCTCCCGCAGCATTTAAAAGGTGGCTTTACTTTAGCCCTTAGTGCTTCCTGTCTTCTTTCCGTTTGCTTGTTTGTCTGTCTGTCTCCCCCACTGTCCTGTGAGCTATTGGAAGGAAACATCCATGTCTTTTTCATCCTTTATTTTCCTGAGCATATTTCTGTCTCTGGTGTCAGAAAGCCACATTAGCCTCTGTCAAACAAAACAAAACAAAACAAAATGACAGGAAAACGGGGAGCTCTTAGTAGGATTCCCTTTCTTTCCTCCATCTCATGGGGCTGCCTCCTTTAGGGAGCTGGCCTCGTTCTCTCTGCTGCAGGTGGGTGTTCTCTATGTGGGTGATAGCATAAGCGGATGGCTCTTCAGTCAGACTGCCTCAGCTTGAAGCTGGTTCCACTACTTACTTAGAATAAATTACTTAAGCTCTTTGAGTCTCAGTTTCCTCATCTGTAAAACAGAGACAACAACAATAATAATACCTACCTACCCTATAAGGTGGTTGTAAAGATTAAATGAGATGATAATACACAAGCAGAGCCAGGCATGGTGGCTCATGCCTGTAATCCCAGCACTTTTGGAGGCCGAGGCAGGAGGATCACCTAAACCCAGGAATTCAAGACCAGCCTGGACAACATAGTAAGACCTTGTTCTACTAAAAATAATAAAGTTAACCAGTCACAGTGATGCATGCTTGTACCAGCTGCTTGGGAGGTTGAGGCAGGAGGATAGCTTGAGCCCAGGAGTGCGAGGTTGTAGTGAGCCATGATTTCGCCACTGCACTCCAGCCTGGGTGACAGAGCGAGACGCTATCTCAAACATTTTTTAAAAAGGCACAAGCAACTCACAGCGGTACCCAACACATGGAATGTGCTCAATAAATGTATGCTAATATACTATTAGTGTTGCTATTTTTGTGGAAGAGGTAGAGAGATAGGCATGACTATAGACATTTCTAGGTGATATCATCCTAACTTAGAGACCCCAAAGGAAAAAGGGGAACATTTATATCCCAGTATCTATATAAACAATTTCCAGGAGGGACTGATTAGCTATGTGTTATAGAGTTCACCACAAGCCAGGCACTACAGTAGGTGCTTCCTATGCATCATCTCAGTGAATTTTTACCACAGTTCTATGATGTAAGTACTTTTTTTTTTTTTTTCCATGAGACAGAGTTTCTCTCTGTTGCCCCGGCCAGAGTGCAGTGGCAGGATCTTGGCTGACTGCAACCTTTGCCTTCCAGGTTCAAGCAATTCTCCTGTCTTAGCCTCCCGAGTAGCTGGGACTACAGGCGCACGCCACCACGCCCAGCTAATTTTTGTATTTTTAGCAGAGACCAGGCTTCACCATATTGGCCAGGCTGGTCTGGAACTCCTGACCTCAGGTGATCCACCCACCTTGGCCTCCCGAAATGCTGAGATTACAGGCGTGAGCCACTGCACCCATACGTAAGTATCATTTAGTTCCTCACTTTACAGGAAAACCAAGGCTTAGACAAGTTTATTATTGATAAAACCAAGGCTTAGAGAAGTATATTACTGATAATTCAGGGGTTGTAAAACTCTCTTCTGTAAAGAACCAGGTATTAAATATTTTAGGATCTGCAGGCTAGATGGTTTCTGTCACAACTACTCAACCCTGTCACTGTAGAACTGAAAGCAGTAATAGACAATATGCAAACAAATGAACATGGTTGCGTTCCCACCAAACTTATTTTATGGGCACTGAATTTTGAATTTCATATAATTTTCATGTGTCATAAAATATTATTTTTCTTTTTTTTTTTTCATTCACTTAAGAATATAAAAGCTATTCTTAGCTTAAGAACTCTACAAATAGAGGTGGCAGCTGGATTTTATCCTTGGGCTGTTTGCTGATTCCTGTTTTAGTCACTTTCCAAAGGCCACATAGCTAAAAGTGGAGGATCAGCCAGGAGCAGTGGCGAGGGCCTGTAGTCCCAGCTACTTGGGAGGCTGAGGCAGGAGGATCACTTCAGGCCAGGAGTTCGAGCTGTAGTGCATAATGATCATACCTCTGAATAGCCACTGTATTCTAGCCTGAACAACATAGCAAGACCCCATTTCTAAAAATAAATAAATAAAAATGGTGGCTCCCAGCTTCAGGTCCAAGTGCCATGACTCTTGGGGTCTGCACACTTAACCACAACTATGCTAGCAAAGCAAACAATTTTTGATGGAAGGAAAATGCCCCCTCCCTCCATTAAAAAGCCAGTTTTGTATCTATTTGTAAATTCATTTTAATATTCCCAATCCATATATGTGTCTGTTCTTTGGATTTTCCTTTGAACTGGTTGTGCCATCAACCTGATTCCCTCAGTAAATAATGAGTGAAATAATATCTTTTACATGTATTCACCTTATATCTGAAGGAGAATCAGGATTTTACTTTTTCTTAAAATTATCCTCTAGGAAAAGGCACACCTGTAATCCCAGCACTTTGGGAGGCCAAGGCAGGTGGCTCACTTGAGCTCAGGAGTTCAAGACCAGCCTGGGCAAATGGCGAAACCCCATCTCTACTAAAAATACAAAAATTAGCTGGGCGTGGTGGCGCATGCCTATAATCCCAGCTACTCAGGGACCTGAGGCAGGAGAATCTCTTGAACCCAGAAGCAGAGGCTGAAGTGAGATCTTAACCACTGCACTCCAGCCAGGCCGACAGTGATGTCTCAAAAAATTTTTTAAAAAGTTTTTTAAATTAAAAAACTAAAATTATCCTCTAGCAGTTTTGGAGGTCTTCCACTGAGATGCTCAGTGGGTTCACGTGACAGAGCCAGGTAAACTCCATCAACAGAAATGGGCAGCTTCATGGGCAGCTTAAGTCCAGGCACATCCATTCTTAATTTTTAGAGGCGAAATCAAAATGACAACAGAACTTTGCTTGCTCCTTGCTTTTGTTGTTGTTGTTGTTGAGACAGGGTCTCGCTCTGTTGCCCCGGCTGGAATGCAGTGTGATCTCAGCTCACTGAAACCTCTGCCTCCCAGGCTCACCTCAGCCTTCTGAGTAGCTGGGATTACAGGCATATGCCACCATATTGGGCTAATATATATATATTATATATATATTTATATATTTTATATATATTTTTATACATATATATATCTTTTTTTTTTTTTTTTTTTTTTGCAGAGACAGGGTTTCGCCATGTTGCCCAAGCTGATCTCTAATTCCTGGGCACAAGTGATTCACCTGCCTCAAACCTCCCAAAGTTACTCCTTGTTTTTCTAATTTTAATTTTCCCTCTGCCAATTTTGTGTTTTGTTTTGTTTTGAGACAAGGTCTTTCTATTTTGCCCAGGCTGGTCTCAAACTCCTGGGCTTGAGTACTCCTCTCCCCTCAGCCTCCTGAGTTGCTGGGATTACAGGTGTGCAACCACCATGCCTGGCTTGTTTTTGTTTTTGATTTGTTTATGGCTGATAAGTTGTTCCTCACTGGTGACAGCAATGACTGGGAATTTGGTTTATGGTTTGACCATTTGGTGATTTCTGTAAATGAATTATTGAATTATAGAGACCTATTCTCTAAATGATTTGTTAGACTTTTTACTCTAGTTTGTATGTCTACTTGACTATTTTCAGCTAAATCAGGTCAGAAATAGAGAGAGAGATTTGTAGATGCTTAGTTGCTGGCTTTGAAGATAAGGGAAGGGGCCACAAGCCAAGAAATGTAGGTAGAAAAGGCAAAGAAATGCATTTTCTCCTAGAGCTTCCAGAGGGAATGCAGCCCCTTGCTTTTGCCCCTTGAGACCCATCTGAGACTTCTGACCTTTGGAACTGTAAAATGATAAATTTGTGTTATTTTAAGCCAGTAAGTTTGTAGACATTTGTTACATTAGTATTGCTTTGTCAGCAATAAGACACTAATAAAGAGTCATTAATAATATGTCCTTTCACCAGAATATAATTGGAAAAATCTGTTATTCAACCAACACCTAGAATGCAATTTTTGAGCATAATGTTTATTTAATCAGGTATTACAACAAGCACTTTTAAGGCACTAAGATGGCCTGTTTGGAGCCAATAATCACAAAGCCCTTCCAGGAAAACTGTCCCAGTATTTGGCTTAAAGGTCCCAGTCTTACAGGTGAGAAGGAATTTGTCCAAATTTATAGGTACCGCAAGTGAAATCTAGTGGAGAGTTTCTTGGCTTTGGTTTCCTAGCCTCAGGAAATAATAAAGGCTTTTAAAAGTCCAATCACATTCTTCATGAAAACTTTCAGCAAAACAAACTTAGATATGTTTGTCACGGCCTATATGGTAAATTTACATTCTTGTTATGCCCATGTAAATAATCAGGCCAAATATAAAAACTAGTGATCAAGAATAACCTATTTTTGAGGTTATTTTTACTAAGAAGAGGAGACTATAAGGAAAATTTTAACACTTTAAAACAAGCAAAAGAGACTACTGGATATTCTTTCACGAAAATGCTAGAGACTTCAGAAATTCATTCTATAAGGATATGCACTTTTTTTGAGTAGTCTATATTATAACTCTGTAACTTACAGAAAAATGATAGCATTGCAAAATTTTGTCTACAGACATGCAAATAAATTATATCTGGTGGTAGAGGGACAAAAGCCAGTTTTGTACCTATCTGAAAATTCATTTTAATATCCCTGATCTAGAACTATATCTGCTTTCTGAGTTCTCTCAATTATGATATATTTGCCTGATTCCCTCAGTAAATGATGAGCTAAGCAGAATCTTTAAAATATATTCATTTTCTACCTGAATGACAGTCATAATTTTATCATTTTTGAAAATTATTCTTTGCCAAGACTCAGGTAAATAATATTATTAATATTTTTATATATGTTCATTTAGGAAAGTTCATTATCTTGTGCAGTCCATTTTATGGTCAGACAGCTCTAATTACTAAAAACATACTTCTATTAACTCCAAATTAGCATCTCTATAATTTCACTTATTTGTCCTATTTTTGTCCCAAAATCTAAATAAAATAATCCAAAGGATCTGTCTTTTTCAAATATTTAAAGTCGTTTGGGCTCACAGCCCCATTTCTCCATGTCAGGCTTTCTCACCTTACAGTCCTTGCTTTCTTGACCAGATCACCTAATCCATCTGCTCCTTTCTGGTTGCTGCGCCTCTGGTTATTGAGAAAGTTATTTTTCTCCCAGAATGGAGTGCAAAGTTATGGAGAAAAATGTCCATACCACCCCCTCTCCAACAACACGTGTGCATGCACACTCTTGCACATTCACATACACTTATCAGTACCATTCTATATTTACTTTCTAAAAAAGATCTGTTTAAGGACACAAGTGTTTTGTTCTTAAAGAGTTTTTATTTTAGCCTCTATAGAGACAATGATAAAAAGGCAAAATCGGCCAGGCACAGTGGCTCACACCTGTAATCCCAGCACTTTGGGAGGCCAAGGCAGGTGGATCACTTGAGGCCAGGAGTTTGAGACCAGCCTAGCCAACATGGTGAAACCCTGTCTCTACTAAAAATACAAAAATATTAGGCGGGCATGGTGGCAGGTGCCTGTAATCCTAGCTACTCGAGAGGCTGAGGCAGGGGAATCACTTGAACCTGGGAGGTGGAGGTTGCAGTGAGCCGAGATTGTGCCACTGCACTCCAGCCTGGGTGATAGAGCAAGACTCTGCCTCAAAAAAAAAAAAAAAAAAAAAAAAAAAAGCAAAATTTGGGCCCTATTAGCAGTTCGAGTCTTATACATGTTCACTCCTACCATTTCATCATTCCTAGCCTCTCATCAAACACACACCTAGATGTCCTAGTTCTTGCCCTGCCAAACTATTAGTCCCACCCAGTGTTTGATGACAGGCTAGGCTGAGCCACTCAGGTCGTCACCCGAAGGCATCTGGGGGAGCGCTGACATAGGTCCAGTGGAATCTTTGTCTTCCCCTAGATCAGCCTCCAGGTATGAGGCACCCCAGGAGAAGGGGTTACTATTTCTCAGTCTCCCACCCACAAATGCATTCTGTGGGTTTTAAGCTATCCTAAACAGTAGCCTCCTCAGGCATATGTAGAATTTTCTGTGATTCCTTTTTGGCCTACAGCGACAGTTTTTAAAGTGCTCCAGGAACCAGCAGCATCCACATCACTTGGACATTTCTTAGAAAACAAATTCTCAAGCCTTCCCTCAACCTACTGAGTCAGATACTCTGGGAGTGGAACTCAGCGATCTGTGCTTTAACAATCCCTCTGGTTAATTTTAATGCACGTTCAAGTTTGAGAGCCACTGGGTTACAGACCTCATTAGAGTACAGTGGGGTCTGATTCTACTCCTTCACACAGCCCTGAGCTATGTCTTGGGCACTTGGTCTCAATGATGATCATGTGGCCTCTGGTCAGTCCCTCACCTGCTTCTCCCCCAGCAGATTTTTCCATTTTTTCTATTTATAAGCAGCTTCCTGACTGGACCACGTCCCAGGTTTCTCCTTCTGGTCTGAGGATGATCTCAAAGTTTAAAGAGACAGCAAAGAAGAAGCACACACCCTGAGCGGCAGGGAGTCCTTCGTGGACCAGGTCTACAGCTTTACATACCCTGAATGTCGTCCTCTTCCAAGTGTGCCCTCCCTGTCCCTCAACCCCACGAAACAGGGCAGTTCTCCAGAACCGTCCTTTTAGACTCACCCACAAAACAAGAACACCTTCTTTACACATTTCTGTGTTTTCTGGTTTTGTTTTTGTTTTTATTTATTTATTTTTGAGGTAGAGTTTCGCTCTGTTGCCTAGGCTGCAGTGCAGTGGTGCAATCTTGGCTCACTGCAACCTCTGCCTGCAGGGCTCAAGCAATCCTCCCACTTTGGCCTCCCTAGTAGCTGGAACTATAGGCAAGCACCACCATGCCCGGCTAAATTTTTGTATTTTTCGTAGCGATGGGGTTTCGCTATGTTGCCTGGGCTGATCTTGAACTCCTGAGCTCAAGCAATCTGCCTGCCTTGGCCTCCCAAAGTGCTGGGATTACAGGCATGAGCCACCGTGCCTGGCCCTGTTTTCTGGTTTTCATACAATGTGCATAGATTATAGTGAGGGGGGGGAGAGCTATTTTTATTTGAACACACACACACACACACAAATTTACAAGACAATAATCCTAGTTTTGTAAGTGTGTGTGTGTGTATGTGTGTGTGTATAAAAAAGACATTGGTAAGGTGGTCATTGCCAGTGATAGGATTATAGGTGAATTGAATGGTTTCTTTGCCTTTTCATCATTTTCTACTTTTTTACAAAGATAAATTAATAAACAAAAACATATATTATGCATGAGGTATCCACATTTTTTTTATTATTTCATGGTACCTCAATTATCCACCAAATTATAAGGAAATCACGAGTGAGAAGCATTAAAATCAGATTGACTTGTCTGGGGTCTAGAAATACATTAAATAATCCTAAAAATACATATCACAGCTGCAAAAATAAAGGCATAAAAAGGCTGAGGCTCTGGATCCAAAGTGTGGCTGTGCATCTGTAGTTTCCAGTGCATGGAACAGCACCTGACACACAGACAGTGCTCAGTCATGAAGGGAGCTCTCTGACCCATCTCTATTCCTCAGAAGTCTCTAGTACTCCGTGTGTAAATTCGGCTGTCTGTTTAGTTCAATTTGGTGGGCCTCTAGACAAAGAAGCCTCTCTCCCTCTTTCTTCAATCATGCAGTACTTTGCAGACTAGAGGAAGCTCAGAAAGGCCTCATTTTTGAAAGGAGTGACAGAAACAATACACTTTATGCTCAAACAGACCTGGCTCCAAATCTTGGCTTCCCGTTTTCAATTGAGGTCTGCTGTTTATGGACGTCTACACATATCTGCATTCAAAAGTACTATGTGCAGAGGAGAGCCAGACTTTCACTGCCTTTATCAAGCTGTCCACCTGGAAGCCGCTGTTTCTACTTCGTCAATGGAGGTTGTACTCATTCAACAGGGTCGCCTGGGGCACTAAATGAGACAATGAGCACAAATTGCCTAGATGCCTGGGTTATGATTATTATTAATTGCTGCTGAACTGGATTTAAAGACAAATGACTGTTGTATAATGTTTTCTGAAATCTACTTTAAATCAACAAACATTGTATGAACCCCTATGGGTACAAGGCATTGCACCAGGCAGGGAGTTTTAGGATTAGGAAGACGTATAAATCTGTTCCCAGGCTCTTAAAAATCACTACCCATATCTTTACAAAGGTAATCATGTTTTCCTTGGCAACACCAGTTTGAACATAAAGTTAGTCAAAGTTATAATCCTAGAGCTATTCTTCCTACATCCTGTCTTATCCATCCAATTATAGGAACCTCAGCTCTTTTGAAATTCCACCTAAGTTCAATGCATCACCTTTGCTGGCCAAGGCATCTTGTCAGTCACGGCGTGAAGCTCCACTCTTCTGCTGGCAGAAACAGACCTCATGATAGCAAATGGCATCTGCGTGTCCTTCTTCTTGGTCTAGTTGCTGCAAGACCCTCTCGCTGCACCATCTGTTCCTCGGCTGGAGCTTGAGCCACACAAGGCCGCAGTTCCCAAACAAATGCCTCCTTGGGGTGAAGAAAACGAGAATGAGTGAGGTACAGTGGCCATTCTCTTCCAACAGCTTCTAGAGCTGCTGATAGAACTGTTTTGGTTTTTACCATCCTGTCTCCCCAGGTCCCTCTCAACAGTCCCTGATGAAGAAAATCTGATAAGCAGTACAGTCCCTGTAAGCAGTATAGTCCCTGTTTTACTCCGGCTTGACTACATCAGCTCTCCTCCCTCAACCTGAGTTCTTTTGCCCTGAGGCTCCCTTGGTCTTTCCTACTGACCCTCTCCTGAAGGAAATTCCCCCACCAGACTTTCAGATATGCCTCCATGTGACAGATTCCTAGCCCTTAGCCCCGCTACTGCACAAGAAACTAAAATACAGGCAGACCATAATCCATGCTCTATTTTAAATTATATCTCTGATGTTATAGATTGACTGCTTATTTAATTGGAAACCTATGGGATTCACTCACTTTCCTTGTTTCTCTCTTTTTTTTAAACAACTAAACAGTTTGAGAGACACAAAAATTAAATTGTGGTGATTAATTATGGAATTAGTGTTTTTAACATTTATCCCTAAAAGTAACATTGAAACAATCTGATGCAATTTTGAAATTAGTAATTCAATCCTCTAGAATTGATTTAAGGCTTAAAAAACTCTAAACCTTTAACTCAAATCTAAGTCATGCATCACTTAACGATGGGCATACATACTGAGAAATGTGTCATTAGGCAATTTCATCCTTGTGCAAAAATCATAGAGTGGACTCACACAAGCCTAGATGGTATAGCCTACTTAGCCTATGTTAGTGGAAAAACCGAGCTCTGTAAAATATTTTAAAGAGGTTTATTCTGAGCCAATATGCATGACCATAGTCTGGGGAAATGTGCAAACCCAAGAAGCCTTCACTAAGTGGTCCCAAGACAGCTAGGTCACAACTCTGTTTCATACATTTTAGGGAAGCAGAAGTTACAGGTAGTCATAAAATCAAAATATATGGGGGTCATGCATTTGTTTGGCCCCCCAAAAGTGGGATACCTTGAAGTGGGAGGCGGGGGCTTACAGGTCATAGATGGATTTAGAGATTCTTTAATTTGCAGTTGGTTAAAGGAGTAAAGCTTTGTCTAAAAACTTAGAAGAAAGGAATGTTTGAAGTTGAGATAAGGAAGTCTGTTAACCAATACAGAGTGAGCTATAAGGGGTGTGTGACTTAACCCTTGTCCGGTATGGCCTTAGGTCCTGTTTATAATGTGGTGTCTTATTGTCACAAAGAGACTGTTTTGTTCATCTTATGATCTCTATTCTAACATTAATGCTGGTCAATTGTGCCTAAACTGCAAAAGAGAGGGGACATAACAAGACATGTCTAACCTCCCTTCCCATCATGGCTGGGAATTCAATTTTTGAGGTTTCCTGGGGTCTCCTTGGCCAAGAGAGTGTCTGTTCAGTTAGTAGGGGCTTAGCATTTTATTTTTAGTCTATAGCTATATGCTTTAGCCTATTGCTCCTAGGTTACAAATGTGCATGGCATGTTACTGTACTGAATACTGGATACAGCTGTAACACAATGATTACATATTTGTGTATCTAAACATACCTAAACATAAGGTAATTTGTTGTGCTACGACATTATGATGGCTACAACGTCACTAGGCAATAGAAATTCTTTAGCTCCATTATAATCTTATGTGGTCCATCATTGACTGGACCGTCACAATGCAGCACATAACTGTAATGTGATTTTAAGAATTTTCACTTTTTGGTCACCCCTTCAGAACACCTTATAGTGTATAAATTGGTAAAGAAAAAATTATTCTGACACTTGTTAAAATGGTAATATAGGGGAGAGAAAGTAATATCTTTTCCTTACCCATTGCAAGATTTATGGCTGACATCCCTATAACGAAAGATGGATTAACAAGAGAAAAGCACAACAAATTTATTTCATCAAAGTTTTTAGGTGACACAAGAGCCTTCAGAAATGAAGACTCAATGACCCAAGGGAAACTGTATTTTTATGGACGGTTATGCAGAAGTGTGATTAGAGGACAAAGGGTATGACCTGTGTATTAGTCTATTTTGCCTTACTACAAAAGAATACCTGAGACTGGGTAATTTATAAAGAAAAGAGGTTTATTTGGCCCTCTTCTGCAGACTCTATAAGAAGGATGGTGCCAGCATCTGCATCTGGTGAGGTCCTCAGGAAGCTTACAATCATGGCGGAAGGCAAAGGCAGAGCAGGCGTGTCACATGGCGAGAGAAGGAGCCAGAGAGGGGGAGGAGGTGCCAGGCTCTTAAATAATCAACTCTTGTATGAACTGATAGAGTGAGAACTCACTCATTACCATAATGACAGCACCACGCCATTTATGAGGGATCTGCCCCCATGACCCAAACACCTCCCACTAGGCCCCACCTCCAACAGTGGGGATCACATTTCAGCATGAGATTTGGAAGGGACAAATATCCAAACCTCATCAATCTGTTAAAGAAAATTGATGGGAGGCCATTGTTTTGGACTGAGTTCCTGCACCAAAAAACAGTAGATTCACAGCAACCAATTACACAGGGCCCAGTTTACTTCAGCCAGCATGATAAGAAAGTCCCCTCTGTTTTAAGCCTATAAGAAAAGTAACTTTATGATGACCAATCCAGTTTTTGCTCCTTGCTTCTCCTTTCTTCTGCCTTTTTTGCCTATAAAGCCCATCTCCTCTGCTCAGCTCATCTTCAGATGGAATACTGCTCAATTTATGAGTTGATAATCAAAGTCAATGAGATCTTTAAACTACACATGTTGAAATTTTGTTTGTTTGACAGATCTAATGGTAATAAACTTGGGGTAACTTAGCAAGGCCTGTTTGTTCAGAATCTTCTGCCTGGCTATAGGGCAGATCCCCCTCTGGAATGAAGGTCTTATGACCCACTTTCAGGGGAGGTAGATCAGAGAACTCTTTCTATGGCCTCAGGGGAAAAAGGTGGAGAAGGTCAGAGTGTGATCTTTCTGCTTCTGCTGTCTTCTCAGTTTCCAAGGTGCCATATTTTGGGGTATGGTGTTGTGAGCCCCAACAGTAAGGAAGACTTTATTCAAAACTGCAATAGGAGAGAGAGATCAGGCTCAACAAAGATAGCTGGGGATTTATAGCCAAGGGGCAGAGTGAGGGGTCAGTGGATAGAAAAGTAAAAATAGGGGACATTTGGGGTAGGAGGGTTCTTGCTGAAGGCAGGCCAGAGTGGTCAGATATCAAGGGTGGAGAGATTCTTGCTAAACTGACTTAGTGTGATTCTTGCTACAACTAGGCTAGACAGGCCAAAGTCAGGATGGATGCCAAGTTCTTTGAAGCTTCACTGAAAAAGGGGCTCAGGGGAGCCTGACTAAAGTTTGGTCAAAGAGAGAGTCTTTGTCACATCGTCGTCTGTTTTAAATCTGACTCTTGAAACTGAACAGTGCAACACAGACAGAGTCTGACCAGTGCAGGATAGAGAACAGATATGTCCTTTCTGGAGATGTATGCTAAATTTCTCTAGCATGTTGACATCGGACTGCTGTGCAGCCATGAAGCCCCATTATGGATTGGCTCGTGTGATATTGTGAAAGTGAACTATATACTTGCTCTTCATCCCCATTTCCTGGCATAGAACTCCTAAAATTTTGGAATCTTCAAAGCAATAAGTATCTTTCTACGCTAATGAGATGACTGGTGGCTGGCAGCCCCTAGGGAGCTTCAGGATGGGGCCTAGTCACCAGAAAAACCAAGGCAGGATTAGAGGGTTCAGACTTTAGCCCCACCATTCAACTTCCAGGGTTTAGTCAATCATGCCTACATAATGAAACTTCCATAAAAGTCCAAAAGGACTGGGTTCAGAGAACTTCCAGATAGCTGAACATATGGAGGTTCCTGGATAATGGAACATCTAGAGAAGGTCTGGACGTTCCGTGAATCTTCCCACGTGCCTTGCCCCATGCATGTCTTCATCTGTGTCCTTTACAATAAATGAAAAAATGTTGAGTAAAGTGTTTTCCTGCGTTCTGGGAGCTACTTTAGCAAATTAATCAAATCCAAGGAGAGCATCGTAAGAGCCCCAACTTGAAGCCGGTCAGTCAGAAGGACAGGTCAAACAGTCTGGAGCGTGTGATTGGCATCACAAGTGGAGGACAGTCTTGTGGGACTGAGCGCTCAACTCTGAGTTCTGATGGTATCTCCAGGTAGACAGTGTTAGAGCCGAATTATAAGACACATAGCTGGCATTCACTGCAGAACTGATTGGTTGTTGGTGGGGAGAAATCCCTACATACTGGTCAGTGACCAGAGGTCACAGAAGTCTTCTGTGTTGATTGTTGGTGAGGGAGAGAAGAGAAAAAGCACTTGATTTTTATTCCTATATTCTCAGAGCTTGTAATTAAGATTGCAGACAGCTAAAACATCAGGTCCTTTCTCCTAAGAACGCTCTCTTTCC
Organism: Homo sapiens; assembly: GCF_000001405.40. Classification (NCBI taxonomy): domain Eukaryota; kingdom Metazoa; phylum Chordata; class Mammalia; order Primates; family Hominidae; genus Homo; species Homo sapiens. The sequence continues at coordinate 69,010,999 of NC_000012.12, read as the reverse complement.
AATTTATCCATCATACAACCCAAGTTACTTTCCCCAGATAGACCTGAGCAACCACCAATTGCCTGCTAAATAAAATCCATCCATCTTAACAGAGCACATTAACCTATCACAACAAGTCCTATTAGTTTGAGCAAATTCTCCCAAATTTGAGAACATCAAGGTCTAACCCAAACCATCTCCCTGAAATAGTGACTTGGGGAGGAGTGGGACCTGAGATTGCTTAATGAGGGGTGGGGCTTCTACCTAAGACCCCAGCAACATCAGGGCATAGATCCCAAGAGCCGTGTCCTGGAGGGCTATTGAGGTCAACACCAGCAAAGCGAGTCTAGAGGTGACCAGGGGGACTGAACACAGAGGAGAAGATTGAACACCAGCTCCCAACTAAAGAGGTTTCACGGAATGGGTGAGGTGGGAGGGAGAGAAGCCAAGAGTATCTGTCAAAGCAGGCAGGGGGTAGGTCAGGGGCTTGGGACAAATTCTGGAGTTGGGATTTGGCTCCTACAATGGATTCCCTTCATTATTTAAGTATGACTCTGCATGCCAGGGACAGGCTCGATCACAGGTGCTACAAAAGTCCTGACAGAATGAGAAATTTTCAGTTTTTGAGACTGTAAGGCTGGGAATTTGACTTAGAACAGGAAGAGTAAGTAGGTTTTGTCTCCTGTGTCACCTCTGATAGATCACTGGTTGCTTGAATCACTAAGTTGAGAAGGATTCTGAAGATGCATGTAAACTCCATGGGAAAGTATGTCCAAATGGACCAGTGACATCCGTCAATAGTGTGGGGCAAAATGAGAGGTGGCCTGGGAGCCATGTATCGCTACCCCTGTCACGACGCTGCCACAGAAAAGTCCCTCCCCAAGGATCAGCTGGCATTTCTATACCTGCTGCCACATGCCCCTAGATTTCCAGTACCTTGCATATTCATCTCCAATGTAAGTTTTATTTCATATTCCTCAGTTATTCTCATGCTCTTATGCATATTTATTTCTTAGATAACTTGGTCCAAAACTACCCAGCTTTTTTTTTTGTTTGTGGCACTCTCAGAGTCTCAGTAAATTTTTCAGTGCCCCGTCCCTAAACCAAAAGAAACGCCTACCAGAGCTATTTGTTAATTAGGTCTAAGCAACTTGATAAATATTTATGACCTAACAACTTAGTCTGAAAAACTGTATATAAAAATTGAAATAAAATAATTTTATTTCATTCTTAAATAATTAAAGTTACCTATTAATGGGATGCATTTTCCTGTTGAACACTGCATAACTTCTGTCAAACTAAAAGGAAGACGCTGAGGCACAAAATATAATTTAAAGAGTTTACTTGAGTGAAAGTGAGGACAGCTGCCCCAGAGATTCAGACCCTAGGAACCTGGAATACAAGCTTCCTTTGGACTTTGTTAATAAGCAGGTTTTTAAAGGCAAAAAAAAAAAAAAAAAAAAAGGAACAGGGAGTAAGCTGATACAAAGTTATTTATCAGGAATTCTCATTAGTTTACAGAAATAACATTGATTAGTGATAGGCTATACATTGTTCAGCTATAGGGTATGGGTTGTATTGTCTGATGCAACATTATTAGGTTAATTTATAGATACTTGTAGCAATAGCAAGCAATTTCAAGAGATGAATATGTAGCTCAAAGGAGGCGATAGAATGTGATTGCTGTTTGATTTTAATGTCTCTCTGGGCTTGGTAATTTAAAAGGATTTGGATTCCTCAGATAAAAGTTCTTCTCGCCTCTTCTCTTCTCTTAGCTGCTGCTGCTTCTTATTCTTCTTCTTCTTCCTCTTCTTCTTCTTCTCCTTCTGCTTCTTTATCTTCTTCTTTCCTCTCTCTTTCTCTCTCTCTTTTTCTCTCTCTCTCATTTCTTTGTTTTGTTTTGAAACAGGGTCTTGCTCTGCTGAAATGCAGTGGCATGATTATAGCCCACTGCAGCCTCCAACTCCTGGGCTCAAGCCATCCTCCCACCTCAGCCTCCAGAGTAGCCGGGACTACCACTGTACACCACTACACTCAGCTAATTTTTATTTTTATTTTTGTAGAGACAAGGTCTTCCTCTGTGTTTCCCAGGCTGGTCCCAGATTCCCAGGTTCAAGCAATCTTCCTGCCACGATCTCCCAAAATGCTAGGATTACTGGAGTAAGCCTCCATGCCCAGCCTCTTTTCTCACTTCTCAAGCCTTGGAATTAGACTGGACACCACCACCCTCATTTCCTGTTTCATGTTTCTGCACGTAGTGCCACAGGATAGGCACAGTAGACCCAGCTTCACAAGTAATATGACATAATCAAAAGAAATGTTGAAATGTTGCACAATCTAATGGTGACGCTGTCAACTACCGTGAGCTAATAGTTTGTGTGGTACCTGAATGGGTGTCAGGTATCACTGTGCTTTCCTTACAATTCTAAAATATCCAGTGGCACCCCAGGGCACCTTGGTACACAGCCTGGAAACCATGGGCTTGGAAGGCACTTCATCCATTTCATATTAGTACCTGTTTTCTCTAAAAATAAAAAACCACTTTATATTTTCCTACTGGACATAGTCCCTCTATTAATGAAGCATCCTCCATGAGAAAAATACAAAAAGGCCATTAAAAGTTCAATGAAAGTTATGAAAAAAAGAAAAAAAAATGAACTCAGGAAGTCTTCGAAAATGAGACAAGGCACCATGATCTTACTAAATCATCCAACATATGTCAAAATGTGTAATAAAACACATTTTTCCTTTGAATGCTAGCCAACTTCTGTTGTTTGCTTTGATTGACAGCTTGGATAGACTGGAACAGCAGGGAGCTGGTGAAACTACACTCCCAGGACAAAACAGGTTTCTACATTTTGTTTTGTTTTGTTTTGTTTTGTTTTGAATTCTTTGAAAACCAAGGAAGAAAGGAGAGGGAGCAGGACAAAGAGAAGAAGGCAAGAAGAGATCATCGCTGTCCTCACTTACACAGCTATTTTTTCCATTCAATTATACATTCGGCAAATATTTATATTCTCTTGCCTAGAGGCAATCATATTTGCATCAAATACTTGAATGCAGGATGTTAAAGAAACAACAGGCTGGTCAGAGTCCGGGCTACAAAGGCTTACAAGATCCTTAGGCTTGCACTAAGCACCTTTCCTCTGCTGCCTTCTGCCCCCGCTTTGGTGAGGTGACATTGTCCAGGCCTGCTCAATTCTTTCCTTTGTTGCACCCTAAGCACCTTCGCACCCCAATCTCTAGGTCCAGCAGGACCAGAACAAGGGAAAACAAAGCCTCACCGCAGGACAGTGTAGTTCAGGGCATGCAGAGCTCTTAAATCTTCAGTCATTCAGAAAGAAGGGACTGTTGCTCTTCACCCAGGAAGAATCTTAATTATCCAAATGCATAGGGGCCCTCATGGGTGGTTCCTTAAAATCTATGTGAGTCATACAATCAAAAAAAAGAAAAAGCAGATCCTGAAATCCGTGAGTAATAGAGCACAGTTTCAGAAGCAGGGGTACATTTTTTTTGCATTTGCTTCCAGATTTCTGAACTTAGGTTTCACTCTATAGAAATCTGAGCTGGTGGTAAAAGGAGTAAAAATGAATGTGTTATGAGCCCCTTGGTTCATAATGGGCATTTTCTTGTTGCCTCGCCACGGAACAAGGAGCAGCAGTAAGATCTTGTTCTCATCTCACAAAGCAGCTGCGCTGACACTTCAAGCAGCTGGCTCTAATGTCAGCAACTGACGTTTACCGTTGATCATTTCACCAGCTAAGTTAAACACACCAGGCTTGCTCATAAGTGCTGGCCATGAAGAAAGTGCTCGGAAGGCAAACAGCCAGTGAAAAATCCAGCCCCTCAGCACACACAGGAGAAAGTTTCCCTTTTTATAAACTATCTAAAAAGGGGAAAAGGGAGAGGCATCATACTTTAAATTATGAATTAGCTATTTCATGCTGCAGCCAAAGCACTTCTCTGTTGGAGTGAGCATATCCCTGTAATGGCTTTTTAAAGGATGTTTGCAAAGTTAAAAGTCTACAATATGAAAGATTTAACTCATTTGCACCATCATTAAGGAATGAATTACAGTCATGACATTTAAGAGTTGACTGTGTTGTTGTTATATGACAAAGAAACATCCTTTGAGCATTTCCCCAGAGCCTAGGCAGGATCTGAATTTCAGGAACCAACAAGGACCAAGTAAGTGCAATTACTGAAGGTATATAAAATCAAAACACCTGCCCCAAAACTTTGGTTTGACTTTAGGAGCTGTAAATTTCCAAAGCCAAACTGAAAAAAAGAATTGCTAGCCCCAACCACATCATTAAATGAGCCTAGCAATGAGGCACTTGGAGGAATCACAACCGTAAACCAAAAGTATCTGCGACAGATCTCAAAGAACTTAGAGATTTTTTTGGCTAAGGTTAAGGATGCACCCATGATACAGCCTCCTGTGACCTCCTGACGCAGGAGGTCCTGATGTGCCCAAGGTGGTTGAGCCACAACTTGGTTTTATACATTTTAGGGAGACATAAGGCAAGACATCAATCATCCCATGTAAAATGTACATTCATTCAGTCTAGAAAGGTGGGACAACTGGAAGCACCTGGAGATGGGGTGGCTGCTTCCAGGTCATAGGAGGATTTAAAGATTTTCTGGGCAATTAGTTGAAAGAGTAATTATCAATAGAAAGGACGGAAGGAATGTCTGGGTTATGATAAGGGGTTGTGGACACCAAAGATTTATCATGCAGATGAAGCCTCCAGGTAGCAGGCTTCAGAGAGCTTGTAAATGTTTCTTATCAGACTTAAAGAGTCTGTTCTGTCAGTAATTCCAAAAAGGAAGAGGGTATAATGAGGCATGTCTGGCTCCCACTTTCCATAATGGCCTGAACTTGTTTTTTCAGGTTAACTTTGGGATGCCCTTGCCGAGAGGAGGAGTCCATTCAGAGGGTTGGAGGGCTTAGAATTTTATTTTTGGGTTACACAACTCTACCATGGGAGAAAATTTGGAGGTGGACCTCAGACATCCAATGGAATCTAGTTTAGACCTGGGTAAGAAAGATAGTTTAGGAACAAGGAAAATGGAAAAATATAGGTTCCATGGCTTCAAATTCCACCAAAGAAGAGAAACAAGAAAGGAATACATAGAACATTTATAATCTAAACCATACAGAACTCTGATAGTGTCTGAAACGTTGTGGAGGAAGTCAGGAACCCCAGGTGTTTCTTTCAGGGCCAAATAGATCGTGACCCTGAGCAACTGCCCAGCTACAGACTGGGAAAGAAAGGGATGAGTGGAATCCTTGGATCTGGGGTCTCAAGTGCAGATTCTGCTAACAATAGCAATGATAGCAACGTGCAAATTTTTTCCTCCCTTATGGCCTTTGGGCTTGCTCTTCCTTCTACCTATAACCTCCCTGATCCTCATGTGCTGGCTAACTCTCCCCATTCACAACCCTGCCCGTGTCATAAGACTTTCCCACCCATCAGTCACTCTCGGCCACATCACTCTGCTCAAATTCCTTCACAACTCTTACTACCACCTGAATTTACCGTATTTATTATCCGTGTATTTGTTAATGGTCTGTCTCCCTAGTGGGGTAAGTGTTTAACAACTGGCTGTGGGAGAAAAGGAATGTTAGTAAATATATGTAGCACACAACTTCCAAGTAATAATCAACTATACAATACCCTTTATTGTAAATTCCATGTGGTCAGTTGAATCTCACTGAATGCCTTTGTTGATTTTTGCCAAACTCTTGTGTCTGTGACTGCAACTGTGGCTGCCGTTCAACCATGATTTGACAAATGGAGCTGCATCCCTATCTGCTAACTCTTTTCTCCATAAAAGTATTGCCATTTGATCTGATGTCATCTGCTGTTAAACTATTTCCCACCCTTGTACGAATTCTAGTCCCTAAATTGAAACCTCTTTCAGCTTCAGCCATGTTGTTTTCAACAATGCTAGCTATCATTTTTGTATAGTTGTAAGGACTGGAACAGTGTTTAATAAGAGCTTGCAAAATTTTTGAAAATATAACAATCTGCTTTCATGGGTCAACATGAGCCCTGTGCCTCTCCAGCTTGGATGGTAGTAAGTTTTATGAGAGGACAAAGGGCACCTGGCACATATCAAATATATACTGACTCTTACTTCATAAAAAACATACTAACATCAGTTGGGTGTGGTGTTTCACGCCTGTAATCCCAGCACTTTGGGAGGCCGAGGCAGGCAGATCACTTGAGGTCAGGAGTTCCAAATCAGCCTGGCCAACATGGTGAAACCCCATCTCTACTAAAAATACAAAAATTAGCTGGGCGTGCTGGCGTGCACTTGTAATCCCAGCTACAGGGAGGCTGAGGCAGGAGAATCACTTGAACCAGGTGGCGGAAGTTGCAGTGAGCCTAGATTGCGCCACTGCCCTCCAGCCTGGGCAACAGAGCAAGACTCCATCTCAAATAAATAAATAAATAAATAAATAAAAATAAATAAAGCCCACTAATTTAAAAAAAATACTAATCTTGGTTTTGATTCTCTTATATATACCATCATATACCTAATTCTTCATCTTCCCAGGATGGAAAAACTGGGAAAAGTGCTACCATCCTGGTCAACTAAGGTTGCCCATCTGCTAAGGATGGCAATTACCACCCTCATTATTAGAGGTTTCTAATGATCAAAAATTTTGGTCAGACATGAGATCTTCTCCCTGTCAGACTGTCTTTTTATAGACATTGTGTCACAGGTTCTGAAATGTTGAAAGGGTTTTGTTTCCTGACTCAGGCTACTTGATTCTGCCTATTCACAGAAGTCTGCAGCACCCACCGAGGCTGGCCACGTGATTGGATATGGCCTTTCTTTAGCTCTGCAGATATGTGGATATATTCATTTGCTAGGGCTGCAATAACAAATACCACAGTCTGGGTTGCTTGCACAACAGAAATTTATTGTCTCACAGCTCTGGAGACTAGAAGTCCAGGATCAAGGTCTTAGCCAATTTGGTTCCTTCTGGGGGCTATGAGAGAGACACTGTTCCATGCCTCTCCTAGCTTCTGGTGGTTGGCTGGTTTGCTGGCCATCTTTGGCATTCCTTGGCTGGTAGACGCATCACCCTGATCTCTGTTTTTATGTTCACGTGGTGTTCTTCCCCTGTTCATGTCTCTGTCTAAATTTTCCCCTTTTATAAAGACAACAGGTATTTAGGGACCCACCTTGCCCCAATATGACCTCATCTTAACTAATTACATCTGCAATGATCTTATCCATTCTGAGGTACAAGGGTTTAGGACTTCAACATATGAATTTTTAGGTGACACAAAGTAACCCAATTTGATAGTAGATGTTTTTATTTGCTTGCTTAACTTTATTTTTTAATCTTTTAATTTTTCTTTGAGACAGGTCTTGCTCTGTCACCCATGCTGGAGGACACTGGCACAATCATGGCTTACTGCCTCCTCAACCTCCCCTGTCCAAGCCATCTTCTCATCCCAGCCTCCTGAGTAGCTGGGACCACAGGCATGCACCACCACAACCAGCTAATTTTTTGATTTTTTGTAGAGACGAGGTCTTGCTATGTTGCCCAGGCTGACCTTGAACTCCTCGGCTCAAGGGGTCCTCCTGCCTTGGCCTCCCAAAGTGCTGGGATTACAGGCATGAGCCACCATGCTCGGCTATTTGTTTAACTTTAACGACCTCTGAACTAGATGAGATTCTAAGAAGATAAGTGAATGTATTTTCTATCTAATAACTAAAAAATGTTAAACTTTATGGGATCTTGCATTCTTTCATAGCTTTAGGACCTTGCAACTTTTAGAACTGTTTAAAGACGTCTCACATGGCTTTGTCTGTCTTACAGTGAGAACTTGGGAGGTCACTCCTTTGATAATCTGGTTTGAGTCAGCAGTGTGCAGTGCTAGATGACATGCCGACAGCATACCTTTTATTTCTGGTATCCACTCTGACATCTCTATTTGTTCCTTCCATACTTGCCCTAGAAATCCAATAAAAGAGTTCAGTGATTACATACTATAAATCAATTCTAAGGTGAGCATTTCCCTCTACACTTAAACGTTTCTGAAACCAGAATCTGTTTAGGAACTCTGGTATGCCAAAGTTTCATTAGCAACATTTTTTTTCTTTTAGGTGAGATATAAAATTATATGATCTTAATTAATGTTGTCTTAGTTCCAATACAGTATTGAGTACCTATGATATGCAGACAGTGCTAAACATCTGGAATGTAAAGAATAGTAATAGCAATAGACAAAGGTAAACAATACATTTCAGTATAGTGATCTTTGGAGACAAGTTTTTCTTCCAGTCTCCTGATTGTCACATAGCCCTTTTCAATTGTATTGATTTGTAATTATCAGTTTACCTGCCTGTCTTCTCCTCTAGCAACTCGAGGGTAAGTATCCTGTCTTAATCACCATTGTATTCCTGCTGCCCAGTACTGTGTGTGGCCTCATAGTCAACATTAAATGATTAAGTGAATGGATGGATTCCCTCAGCCCACATTGTGCTAGGAAGTCCTACTAAAGAAAATTTAGAATTTAGTTTTAATTACCAAGATATTAAGTCAAGTTTCATTGCCTACTCCAACAGGACTTTCAAGCAGTACTGCCCAGAATGCATACCATTAAATGGCATTTTTGCCTTAGTGGTTTTTGGTAAAAGTTGGAAAATCACGGTAATGTGTAAGGATTGTTCTGTGTTTGTACTGATTTCATGGTCAGCTGTCAGCTTGGCTACAATAGCATTCAGAAATGTGGGGATATGTAGAAATGTGGTGACATGAAGTCTTCCCCTTTTTCCAGGGAAGGATTCTGCCTCCTTGATGGTCCTGTTGTTGTCAAGTTCAGACAAAATTAAGTCTAGATGAGCTTTACCTTTTTATGATTATGATTATGATTATGATTATTTTGAGACAGAGTCTCACTCTGTTGCCCAGGCTGGAGTGCTATGGTGCGATCTCAGCTCACTGCAAGCTCCACCTCCAGGATTCAAGCGATTTTCCTGCCTCAGCCTCTGGAGTAGCAGGGATCATAGGCACGCGCCACCACGCCTGGCTAATTTTTGTATTTTTAGTAGAGACAGGGTTTTGCCATGTTGGCCAAGCTGGTCTCAAACTCCTGACCTCAAGTGATCTGCTCACCTTGGCCTCCCAAAGTGCTGAGATTACAGGCGTGAGCCACCACACCCGGCCTACCTTACATTTTGAATAGGTAAATACATCCACAATTGAGAAATAGAGGCAAGATTAAGATTTAAGCGAGATGTAATAAAAGGCATGTGAGTTAGTTTTCTATCACCGCATAAAAAGTTATCACAAATTTAGCAGCTTAAAACAACACCCTTTTACTACTCCACAGTTCCTGTGGGTCAAGAAGCCGGACATGGCTTAACTGGGCCCTCTGCTTAGGGTCTCCCAAGACTGCAAGCAAGGTGTCAGCCAGGCTACATTTGCATCTGGGGGGCTCAACTGGGAAAGATCTGCTTCCAAAGATCACAGGTAGAACTCATTTCCTTGTGTTCATATGACTGAAGTCCCTTTTCTCGCTGGCTGTGGCCAGGGGCTACTCTCAGCTCCAAAGGTCACTTGAAGTTCCTTGCCAGGCGATCCTCTCCTTTCTCTCACAACATGGCAGTGTACTTCAAAGCCAACAGCAGAGAGTCTGACCTAAGAGAGAGTCCTGTACCTGATTAAACCAGGTCCATCCAGGATAATCTCCCTTTTGATTAACTCAAAACACACTGATTTGGGGCCTTGATTACAACTACAAAAATCCCTTTACCTTTACCATATTCTATTGATCAGAAGTAGATCAGAAGTCTCAATCAAATCCAAGAGGAGGATGTTACATGGGGTGAACGTCAGGGGGTAGGAATCCTGGGACCTATCTTAGAATTCAGCCTGCCTCAGCCTGTATAGCCTCTCACTGTAACATCAGGGCAATGGCATGGGGAAACTATAAGGTTAACTTCCTGGAATTCCAGGGTTGACAAGGGCCTCCAGAGTCATTCTCTGCCCCCACATGAATAATCCTTAACCAAACCTGAAAAATGAATGCTTATCCTCTTACAGATACCCAAGAAAAGTGGATCTCTTTGTAATTAGTCCTTGTGGATAATAAAAGTTAGTGTTGCCAGGAGGAAAATAGGTTTCTTGTCCCACACCACATCCATTTCCTTGGCAGTGGCTTTTTAGCTTTCTGGGGCATAGAGTTGGGAGGATTGTGAAGCTAAGGGCTCGAGTGAAAAACACTTCTGGGATCAATTATTGATGCCTTCTTGAGAAGGCATAACAGAAACATCCATGTGATATAGTTACCAATGTTGTCATAAGAAGATGACTAGGCTAGAAGACTTCTGTTCTAGTCCCAGATCCACTCTAGCAAGTGATTTTGAACAAATCACTATCTCTTGGCCCTTGTTTCTTTCTCTGTTTTTTTTTTTTTTTCAAGGCTACCTCCTAGGGTTTTCATGAAGATTAAATGATATAACTCAGATGAAGGTGCTCTGTAATGGTAAATCAATAAACAACTATAAGATAGTATTGCCACTGAGCTTCTTGAAAGAAATTATTCCAGCCCATCTTCTGACACAGTTTTTGGCCCAGCATCTTATTTCTGCTTTCTTTAAATATCAAGTGAAAAATAACCTTCTCAAACTTGGACTTGGTGAACTGACAGCTTCCTGCAATAGCTGTCTGGCTTATCATACGGATAAACAATGTGACAACACCATTGTGACTGGTGAGTCAACCCTCATGTCTTCTGGCTCCTTTGAGTTTGCTATATTAAAATCATGGTTCACCCAAAACAAACAAACAACTTTATTTTAATATCATTGTGTGAGTCCTCGGATTGCCGAAAGTGTGGCCTATACAGGTACATGAAGAACAATCTTGGGATCAGAAAAGCAAATATTTAGAAAGTAAATGCAATACAATTTTCCTGGACTCTAAAGATAGGAAATGTCAATTCGGGAGCTCATACCTGCAGGCTCTGCTCTTCCCCTTCTTCATAACTGCAGAAAATGCAAGAGAGGAAACAGTCACCATCCACTAAACCCTTATTACTCAAAAGTGTGGTCCATGAACCTCCAGCATGGGCATCACCTGAGAACTTATTAAAAATGCAGAATCTTGGGCTGAACCTCAGACCTGCTGAATCAGAATAAGCATTTTAACAAGTTCTCCAAATTATATGCATGTACATTAAAGTTTAAGAAGCTGCACTAAATTTTCCAGACATGGAAAATTCATGTTTAAATTACTAGTATTTTAAACATGATCCAAAAGCATTGCTCTGGCCATTATTTTGTAACCACCCAGTGGGTTCACCTTGCCCGATGCCTAGACAGAGCCAATTTATCAAGACAGGGGAATTGCAATAGAGAAAGAGTAATTCATGCAGAGCTGGCTGTGTGGAGACTGGAGTTTTATTATTACTCAAATCAGTCTCCCAGAGCATTCAGGGAGCAAAGATTTTAAGGATAATTTGGTGGGTGGGGAAGCCCAGTGAGTTGAGAGTGCTGATTGGTTGGGTTGGAGATGAAATCATGGGAAGTTGAAGCTGTCCTTTTGAACTGAGTCAGTTCCTGGTTGAGGGCCAGTTTATCGATGTATAGGTGGTGCCAGCTGATCCATCAAATGCAGGGCCTGCAAAATATCTCAAGCATTGATCTTGGGAGTAGGTTAGGGAGGGTCAGAATCTTGTAGCCTCCAACTGTATAACTCCTAAACCATAATTTCTAATTTTGTGGCTAATTTCTTAGTCCTACAAAGGCAGTCTAGTCCCCAGGCAAGAAGAAGGTTTGTTTTGGAAAAGGGCTGTTGTCGTCTTTGTTTTAAACTATAAACTAAGCTCCTCCCAAAGTTAGTTCAGCCTACGCCCAGGAAGGAACAAGGACAGCTTAAAGGTTAGAAGCAAGATGGAGTCGGTTAGGTTAGATCTCTTTCACTGTCTCAGTTATAATTTTGCAGAGGCGGCTTCAATTTCATATTGCTGGCAGCAAAATACAGTCCGATCTATTAGCAGTTTCTATGTAAGATGAGAGAGCACATTGTTAGGATTTTACCAACTTATATTTTAAAGGTTTCACTTGTGATCTGCTCATTAGAAAACAGTTAATCAGGAACTGATTGGACACAGTTACAATCCAACACCAACTTGGCAGTATTGCAATGACCAAAATGCTGATATCCTTAATGATTATTTTACATAGTAGAACCTCGTATCCAACTCTGCTTCATCTAAATGATGTATGAGGTTCCTGTAAACTCCAGAGGAACCCTATCATATCCGCATCTAGATCCCCTATAGGGCCTAATAAAGTATTTTGTAGCAGAAGTATAATTACTAAGGGTACAAGCTTAGAAAACAAGGCTGTACATTTAGAAGAAAAGGAAAATAAATAATGGTGGGGGAAGGGGGGCAAGCAGAAAAAGATGGCCTGGACTTCATTTATCTCTAACCCAGGTGTGATGGGTCCTTGGGAGCCATCTCCTCCAGCTTTGAAAACAGGGTTCAGCCTACATCACATCTGCATCAAGCAAAGGCTGTTCATAAAGCTTCAGAGAACAATGTCAATCTTATCAGATATTTTGTGGAAGACAAAGAGATGGCTTATATCACATCTGATAAAAGAAAAACTTCAGCTGAATTAAATTTAAAGGAATTTAATTGAGCAATGAATGATTTGTGAGTTGGGCAGCCCCCTAAGCCAGAATAGGCTCAGAGACTCCTGCACAGCCACGTGGGGGAAGAAGATTTATGGAAAGAAAAAGGGAAGTGATGCAAAGAAAACAGAAGTGAGGGACAGAAACAGCTGGATTGTTTACAGTTTGGCATTTACCTTATTTGAACATGGTTTGAACAGTTGTCTACATTTGCTTGCCCAAAACTCAGTGATTGGCACAAGTGTAGGCTACAGTCTGTTTACACCTCCACTTGTTATAGTCTATGATGTACAGAGAAACCTTTAGGCTGAACTTAAATATGTCAGGAGGCAGCTTTAGGCTAAACTGGATTTAACAATTCTCCCCTTTTGTTCATCTTTTCAATTTTGAGAAGTTGACCAAAGCTTTAGTCATTGATGTCACTATCACCATTGTAAATGTACTTATTTGGCCTTAGTATTAGTCCGTTTTCATGCTGCTGATAAAGACATACATGAGACTTGGCAATTTACAAAGGAAAGAGGTTTAATGGAGAACTCACAGTTCCATGTGGCTGGAGAAGCCTCACAACCATGGCAGAAGGCAAGGAGGAGCAAGTCACACCTTACACGGATGGCAGCAGGCAAACAGAGAGCTTATGCAGGGAAACTCCCCCTTATAATACCGTCAGATCTCGTGAGACTTATTCACTATCACAAGAACAGCACAGGAAGACCTACCCCCATGATTCAATTACCTCCCACCAGGTCCCTCCCACAACACATGGGAATTCAAGATGAGATTTGGGTGGGGACACAGCCAAAGCATATTGTTCCACCCCTATCCCCCGCTAAATCTCATGTCCTCACATTTCAGAACTAATCATGCCTTCCCAATATTCCCCCAAAGTCTTGACTCGTTTCAGCATTAACTCAAAAATCCACAGTCCAAAATCTCATCTGAGACAAGGCAAGTACCTTCTGCCTATGAGCCTGTAAAATCAAAGGCAAGTTAGTTACTTTTTAAATACAATGGGGGCAAAGGTATTGGGTAAATACAGCCATTCCAAATGGGAGAAATTGGCCAGAACAAAGGGGGCTACAGGCCTCATGAAGTCTGAAATCCAGCAGGGCAGGAAAATCTTTTTTTTTTTTTTAGGTTTCTTTTTTAAATTTTATTTTATTATTATTATACTTTAAGTTTTAGGGTACATGTGCACAATGTGCATGTTAGTTACATATGTATACATGTGCCATGCTGGTGTGCTGCACCTATTAACTTGTCATTTAGCATTTGGTATATCTCCTAATGCTATCTCTCCCTCCTCCCCCCACCCCACAACAGTCCCCAGAGTGTGATGTTCCCCTTCCTGTGTCCATGCGTCCTCATTGTTCAATTCCCACCTATGAGTGAGAATATGTGGTGTTTGGTTTTTTGTTCTTGCGATAGTTTACTGAGAATGATGATTTCCAATTTCATCCATGTCCCTGCAAAGGACATGAACTCATCATTCTTTATGGCTGCATAGTATTCTATGGTGTATATGTGCCACATTTCCTTAATCCAGTCTATTGTTGTTGGACATTTGGGTTGGTTCCAAGTCTTTGCTATTGTGAATAGTGCCACAATAAACATACGTGTGCATGTGTCTTTATAGCAGCATGATTTATAGTCCTTTGGGTATATACCCAGTAATGGGATGGCTGGGTCAAATGGTATTTCTAGTTCTAGATCCCTGAGGAATCGCCACACTGACTTCCACAATGGTTGAACTAGTTTACAGTCCCAGCAACAGTGTAAAAGTGTTCTTATTTCTCCACATCCTCTCCAGCACCTGTTGTTTCCTGACTTTTTAATGATTGCCATTCTAACTGGTGTGAGATGGTATCTCATTGTGGTTTTCATTTGCATTTCTCTGATGGCTAGTGATGGTGAGCATTTTTTCATGTGTTTTTTGGCTGCATAAATGTCTTCTCTTGAGAAGTGTCTGTTCATGTCCTTCGCCCACTTTTTGATGGGGTTGTTTGTTTTTTTCTTGTAAATTTGTTTGAGTTCATTGTAGATTCTGGATATTAGCCCTTTGTCAGATGAGTAGGTTGCGAAAATTTTCTCCCATTTTGTAGGTTGCCTGTTCACTCTGATGGTAGTTTCTTTTGCTGTGCAGAAGCTCTTTAGTTTGATTAGGTCCCATTTGTCAATTTTGTCTTTTGTTGCCATTGCTTTTGGTGTTTTAGACATGAAGTCCTTGCCCATGCCTATGTCCTGAATGGTAATGCCTAGGTTTTCTTCTAGGGTTTTTATGGTTTTAGGTCTAACGTTTAAGTCTTTAATCCATCTTGAATTAATTTTTGTATAAGTTGTAAGGAAGGGATCCAGTTTCAGCTTTCTACATATGGCTAGCCAGTTTTCCCAGCACCATTTATTAAATAGGGAATCCTTTCCCCATTGCTTGTTTTTGTCAGGTTTGTCAAAGATCAAATAGTTGTAGATATGTGGCGTTATTTCTGAGGGCTCTGTTCTGTTCCATTGATCTATATCTCTGTTTTGGTACCAGTACCATGCTGTTTTGGTTACTGTAGCCTTGTAGTATAGTCTGAAGTCAGGTACCATGATGCCTCCAGCTTTGTTCTTTTGGTTTAGGATTGACTTGGCGATGCGGGCTCTTTTTTGGTCCCATATGAACTTTAAAGTAGTTTTTTCCAATTCTGTGAAGAAAGTCATTGGTAGCTTTATGGGGATGGCATTGGATCTATAAACTACCTTGGGCAGTATGGCCATTTTCACGATATTGATTCTTCCTACCCATGAGCATGGAATGTTCTTCCATTTGTTTGTATCCTCTTTTATTTCATTGAGCAGTGGTTTGTAGTTCTCCTTGAAGAGGTCCTTCATGTCCCTTGTAAGTTGGATTCCTAGGTATTTTATTCTCTTTGAAGCAATTGTGAATGGGAGTTCACTCATGATTTGGCTCTCTGTTTGTCTGTTGTTGGTGTATAAGAATGCTTGTGATTTTTGTACACTTATTTTGTATCCTGAGACGTTGCTGAAGTTGCTTATCAGCTGAAGGAGATTTTGGGCTGAGACAATGGGGTTTTCTAGATATACAATCATGTCGTCTGCAAACAGGGACAATTTGACTTCCTCTTTTCCTAATTGAATACCCTTTATTTCCTTCTCCTGCCTAATTCCCCTAGCCAGAACTTCCAACACTATGTTGAATAGGAGTGGTGAGAGAGGGCATCCCTGTCTTGTGCCAGTTTTCAAAGGGAATGCTTCCAGTTTTTGCCCATTCAGTATGATATTGGCTGTGGGTTTGTCATAGATAGCTCTTATTATTTTGAGATACGTCCTACCAATACCTAATTTATTGAGAGTTTTTAGCATGAAGGGTTGCTGAATTTTGAATTTTGTCAAAGGCCTTTTCTGCATCTATTGAGATCATCATGCGGTTTTTGTCTTTGGTTCTGTTTATATGCTGTATTACATCTATTGATTTGCATGTGTTGAACCAGCCTTGCATCCCAGGGATGAAGCCCACTTGATCATGGTGGATAAGCTTTTTGATGTGCTGCTGGATTCGGTTTGCCAGTATTTTATTGAGGATTTTTGCATCAATGTTCATCAAGGATATTGGTCTAAAATTCTCTTTTTTGGTTGTGTCTCTGCCCAGCTTTGGTATCAGGATGATGCTGGCCTCATAAAATGAGTTAGGGAGGATTCCCTCTTTTTCTATTGATTGGAATAGTTTCAGAAGGAATGGTACCAGTTCCTCCTTGTACCTCTGGTAGAATTCGGCTGTGAATCCATCTGGTCCTGGACTCTTTTTGGTTGGTAAGCTATTGATTATTGCCACAATTTCAGAGCCTGTTATTGGTCTATTCAGAGATTCAACTTCTTACTGGTTTAGTCTTGGGAGGGTGTATGTGTTGAGGAATTTATCCATTTCTTCTAGATTTTCTAGTTTATTTGTGTAGAGGTGTTTGTAGTGTTCTCTGATGGTAGTTTGTATTTCTGTGGGATCAGTGGTGATATCCCCTTTATCATTTTTTATTGCGTCTATTTGATTCTTCTCTCTTTTCTTCTTTATTAGTCTTGCTAGCGGTCTATCAATTTTGTTGATCCTTTCAAAAAACCAGCTCCTGGATTCATTAATTTTTTGAAGGGTTTTTTGTGTCTCTATTTCCTTCAGTTCTGCTCTGATTTTAGTTATTTCTTGCCTTCTGTTGCTTTTGAATGTGTTTGCTCTTGCTTTTCTAGTTCTTTTAATTGTGATGTTAGGGTGTCAATTTTGGATCTTTCCTGCTTTCTCTTGTGGGCATTTAGTGCTATAAATTTCCCTCTACAAACTGCTTTGAATGTATCCCAGAGATTCTGGTATGTTGTGTCTTTGTTCTTGTTGGTTTCAAAGAACATCTTTATTTCTGCCTTCATTTCGTTATGTACCCAGTAGTCATTCAGGAGCAGGTTGCTCAGTTTCCATGTAGTTGAGTGGTTTTGAGTTAGTTTCTTAATCCTGAGTTCTAGTTTGATTGCACTGTGGTCTGAGAGACAGTTTGTTATAATTTCTGTTCTTTTACATTTGCTGAGGAGAGCTTTACTTCCAAGTATGTGGTCAATTTTGGAATAGGTTTGGTGTGGTGCTGAAAAAAATGTATATTCTGTTGATTTGGGGTGGAGAGTTCTGTAGATGTCTATGAGGTCCACTTGGTGCAGAGCTGAGATCAATTCCTGGGTATCCTTGTTAACTTTCTGTCTTGTTGATCTGTCTAATGTTGACAGTGGGGTGTTAAAGTCTTCCATTATTATTGTGTGGGAGTCTAAGTCTCTTTGTAGGTCACTCAGTACTTGCTTTATGAATCTGGGTGCTTCTGTATTGGGTGCATATATATTTAAGATAGTTAGCTCTTCTTGTTGAATTGATCCCTTTACCGTTATGTAATGGCCTTGTCTCTTTTGATCTTTGTTGGTTTAAAGTCTGTTTTATCAGAGACTAGGATTGCAACCCCTGTCTTTTTTTGTATTCCATTTGCTTGGTAGATCTTCCTCCATCCTTTTATTTTGAGCCTATATGTGTCTCTGCACGTGAGATGGGTTTCCTGAATACAGCACACTGATGGGTCTTGACTCTATCCAATTTGCCAGTCTGTGTCTTTTAATTGGAGCATTTAGTCCATTTACATTTAAAGTTAATATTGTTATGTGTGAATTTGATCCTGTCATTATGATGTTAGCTGATTATTTTGCTCGTTAGTTGATGCAGTTTCTTCCTAGCCTCGATGGTCTTTACAATTTGGCATGATTTTGCAGTGGCTGGTAACGGTTGTTCCTTTCCATGTTTAGTGCTTCCTTCAGGAGCTCTTTTAGGGCAGGCCTGGTGGTGACAAAATCTCTCAGCATTTGCTTGTCTGTAAAGTATTTTCTTTCTCCTTCACTTATGAAGCTTAGTTTGGCTGGATATGAAATTCTGGGTTGAAAATTCTTTTCTTTAAGAATGTTGAATATTGGCCCCCACTCTCTTCTGGCTTGCAGAGTTTCTGCCGAGAGATCCGCTGTTAGTCTGATGGGCTTCCCTTTGTGGGTAACCCGACCTTTCTCTCTGGCTGCCCTTAATATTTTTTCCTTCATTTCAACTTTGGTGAAACTGACAATTATGTGTCTTGGAGTTGCTCTTCTCAAGGAGTATCTTTGTGGCATTCTCTTTATTTCCTGAATCTGAACGTTGGCCTGCCTTGCTAGATTGGGGAAGTTCTCCTGGATAATATCCTGCAGAGTGTTTTCCAACTTGGTTCCATTCTCCCCATCACTTTCAGGTACACCAATCAGAGGTAGATTTGGTCTTTTCACATAGTCCCATATTTCTTGGAGGCTTTGTTTGTTTCTTTTTATTCTTTTTTCTGTAAACTTCACTTCTTGCTTCATTTCATTCATTTCATCTTCCATCACTGATACCCTTTCTTCCAGTTGATTGCGTCAGCTCCTGAGGCTTCTGCATTCTTCACGTAGTTCTCAAGCCTTGGCTTTCAGCTCCATCAGCTCCTTTAAGCATTTCTCTGTATTGGTTATTCTAGTTATACATTCGTCTAATTTTTTTCAAAGTTTTTAACTTCTTTGCCTTTGGTTTGAATTTCCTCCTGTAGCTCGGAGTAGTTTGATCGTCTGAAGCCTTCTTCTCTCAACTCGTCAAAGTCATTCTCCATCCAGCTTTGTTCCGTTGCTGGTGAGGAACTGTGTTCCTTTGGAGGAGGAGAGGTGCTCTGCTTTTTAGAGTTTCCAGTTTTTCTGCTCTGTACTTTCCCCCATCTTTGTGGTTTTATCTACTTTTGGTCTTTGATGATGGTGATGTACAGATGGGTTTTTGGTGTGGATGTCCTTTCTGTTTGTTAGTTTTCCTTCTAACAGACAGGACCCTCAGCTGCAGGTCTGTTGGAGTTTGCTAGAGATCCACTCCAGACCCTGTTTGCCTGGGTATCAGTAGCGGTGGCTGCAGAACAGTGGATTTTCGTGAACCGCAAATGCTGCTGTCTGATTGTTCCTCTGGAAGTTTTGTCTCAGAGGAGTACCCGGCCGTGTGAGGTTTCAGTCTGCCCCTACTGGGGGGTGCCTCCCAGTTAGGCTGCTCAGGGGTCAGGGGTCAGGGGTCAGGGACCCACTTGAGGAGGCAGTCTGCCCCTTCTCAGATCTCCAGCTTTGTGCTGGGAGAACCACTGCTCTCTTCAAAGCTGTCAGACAGGGACATTTAAGTCTGCAGAGGTTACTGCTGTCTTTTTGTTTGTCTGTGCCCTGCCCCCAGAGGTGGAGCCTACAGAGGCAGGCAGGCCTCCTTGAGCTGTGGTGGGCTCCACCCAGTTCAAGCTTCCCGGCTGCTTTGTTTACCTAAGCAAGCCTGGGCAATGGCGGGTGCCCCTCCCCCAGCCTCGCTGCCACCTTGCAGTTTGATCTCAGATTGCTGTGTTAGCAATCAGTGAGACTCCGTGGGCATAGGACCCTCCGAGCCAGGTGCAGGATATAATCTCCTGGTGCGCCGTTTTTTAAGCCCATCGAAAAAGCACAGTATTAGGGTGGGAGTGACCCGATTTTCCAGGTGCCATCTGTCACCCCTTTCTTTGACAAGCCCCTTGCACTTCCTGAGTGAAGCAATGCCTTGCCCTGCTTCGGCTTCCGCATGGTGTGCTGCACCCACTGTCCTGTGCCCACTTTCTGGCACTCCCTAGTGAGATGAACCCGGTACCTCAGATGGAAATGCAGAAATCACCCGTCTTCTGCGTTGCTCATGCTGGGAGCTGTAGACCAGAGCTGTTCCTTTTCGGCCATCTTGGCTCAGTCTACCAGGAAAATCTTAAAGCTCCAAAATGATCTCCTTTGACTCCATGTCTCACATCCAAGTCACGCTGATATAAGAGGTGGGTTCCCATGATCTTGGGCAGCTTTGCCCCTGTGGCTCTGCAGGGTACAGCCTCCCTCCCGACTGCTTTCATGGGCTGGTCTTGCATGTCTATGGCTTTTCCAGGCACACAGTACAAGCTGTCAGTGGATCTACCATTCTGGGGTCTGGAGGACAGTGGCCCTCCTCTCACAGCTCCACTAGGTGGTGCCCCAGTAGGGACTCTGTGTTTGGGGGGTCCCACCTCACATTTCCCTTCTACTAGAACCTCCAAACAAGCTCTCAAAACAATGGCCTCCCATAATTTTGCTTTAAAAAATTCCCCCTTTTTGATCAGGTTCTTACTTAGGTGAGAGTGTGATCAAAACTTAGGGCCTTAGCACCACCCACAATTTTGGGTTTCTGGTCTCAGCATATTATTCATAGGTTATGGTGCCCTCATGTTCACATACTCCTTTCAGCTCTTGTCATTCCAGTTAAAGAGAGACCATTTGACATTCTTGAGATGGCTGCATGCAAACATTTAAAACTTTTGAGGGAATACAGCACACCAGGGAGACTACTATTATGACTATCAGGAGGATAATACAACATGTTTGGAGTATGCTCCTTACCCAGGGTCCACTAAACCAGACCACCTAAAATTAAATACATCAAAGAATGAGCTAGAGAAAGAATTGACTCACTTAACTAAGCAGTCTCTTCATTAATCCCCTACAACTGAATCTCTATAATCTACATTTGATGTATGTCTCCATAGACCACAAATGCCAGCAGCTGCACAAATACTTTTCCATTTAGCCACTAAATAATCTGGAGCTATTCTGTTATTTAGCATAACTTTCACAAGAGAATTTAAAGTCTATTGTGTAACCACAGCCTTTACAGTAGAATCTGCTATAAAGCCTTTCATGAGGGATACATTTCTAATCATTGCCTCTTTTATTCCAAATCATGGAAAAGGGACCTAGCAAATGATGCCCTTCTAGAAGAGTGAAGGCCTCCTAGCAATGTTCTCTTTAACCCATGATATGGATTAAGAGAAGTGAACCGATGTTCTGTTTCTGACTGATTACAAAGCAACACATGTACCATTAGTTTTTCATCTACATTGGGCCTTAATTTTTCATCTATCAAGGTATGAGGTTATCCATGTATAAGGCTGGCTGCAAAATCCTTCACAAATAAAAGTATAACCCATGAGTGCACACAACAGACCCCTCTTTCACTTCTGTTGTCCACAGAAGCATAACCAAGGAGAAAAAAATATCCAAAGATAAGAGTCTCATGATAGTAGAGAAGTCATGATCTGTGATCTTGGAAAAAGCTCTTCACATCAAGTATGCCGTCTTCTTCTGGGGAGAAACTTTCCTGGTTAGCTTTACCTAAAGAGTTCCAGTGGATGTACAGTTCCAAGAGTGTGGAAGGACCCTTCTCAGTTGTGAGATTATGAACACAAGGTTCAAGGTCCCGAAGTTTTGCTGCAGTGTGGATGGCAAGGGCAGGCTTTCTCTGATGTTCCCAGAAGATCCAATCTTCAGGTTCTAGATCATGAAGGGGTTGATTGTCCTCAGTCAGTAAACCATAAAAAGTTTTCTTTACCTAGTGAAAATATACTGTGGCATAATAACCTACTGATAACATCAGCCCTCTTGCATGGGAGACCTTTTATATAACCAGAAAACATGCATTGAAAATGACAGTTGAATGAAATCCCTCTATAAATGTTTAAATGGCCCATCAGGTAGCTGAATGTACCTGAAGCTTTGATTGTCTTCCCAGGAATATGGGTTTAACAAACCAAACACTGGTCATAAACTATTTTAGTAATTTAGAAATCACCACAACAATATATGTTTAATTTGGATCATTGTATCTTTCCCATGATGAGCCATGGAATGCAGAACTTTTAATAACAAAAGCTTTAAGAAATCAGGAATGACAAGGGAGCTGTCCTGGTTCTCTGTGATTCCATGCTTAACACTGGACTTATGTCCTCTTGAATACCAGTTGTTTCTCCAACTTAGGTGCATAGCACTGATAACTAATGGGTTATCATAGGTAATTTGACTTAGACCATGGAGTTCATTCAAATTGTATATCTAAACAATTTCAGTATCAGCTGATTTAGCGTGAAAATCTGGCAAAGTATTTTCTTGGTATTAAATTAATTTTTGTTCTACTTGAGTTAGCAGTTTTGTAAACCAGTCAGTCTTTTCATTAAAGCTCCAGGAATTCTTACGTAGTCCAGATGATATGATTCTAAAGTTACCAGAAACCTGTATTCAAGAGTACTTTTCAGAGTCCTTTCCATTCTTTCATGAACCTCCTAAAATATGCCATATTCTAGGATTTTGCATGCTTGTGAAGTTTTCAGAAACTATCAGCATTAAGCAATTAACTGTGGAAATGACTTTAAGTAGTCATAGTTAAAGACACAATTGACAAGCATATTTGGTTATTTCCATGGTCTACAATAATTTAACATAATAACCCTACTTATGATTGATAGCATATATTCAAGCATATTAGAATTTTAGAAATCCCATACAATTTTGGAATGTATATTAATAACATTCACTAAAATGTAACCTGAAGAAGGTTAAGCATTGTTTTTTATTTTGACAATGCTTCCCATGTAACTTAACATGTTAAATAGTCTTGTTTACCTCTCTTTTTGGTGCTTCAGGGGCCCTCTGTAGTATCCCAAAGTTAGAGGTCAGAAAAGATGATTTTGAAGCTGAAATTTGATTTTGGGAAGCCTGTCAAATATGTTAAAGGTTTAAAACACTTGATATTATGAGATAGAATTCCAGGTCACCATAAGTCATTCATTTAGCCAAAATGATGACTCAAAAATTTTAAAAAGGCAGAAACCTTTACTAACTGAAGACTTAGTTTTCCAAACAATCTGTCTCATGTGTTTCTCTTCTTTTTCCTGTAGCTTATTCAAAAGGCAAACAAAAATATTTGATTATCCTTCAATATTATGTGAAAATCTTGTTCAAAAGAGAAAGCCAAATTTCACCCTTGCATTAGCATACTATTAATGTCAACCCCAATCTTTAATAAATCATAGAGGCAAATTTATCCAATCTTAATCAGTTTGATCATAAGGTGAGATTCTCATAAATCTTTTATAACCCTTTACAAATATTTGTTAAAGAGCAGATCAGTGCTCTAAGAAAACCCTGTTGTGCTTTTATTTCAATGTTCAATTTACAGAAAAAACAAGTAATACCCCTTTAAATGTAGCCAATATGTTCACACACAGAATTTTCTTTCTTTCTTTTTTTTTTTTTTTTTGAGATGGAGTCTCACTGTCATCAGGCTGGAGTGCAGTGGTGTGATCTCGGCTCCCTGCAAGCTCCACCTCCCAGGTTCATGCCATTCTCCTGCCTCAGCCTCCCGAGTAGCTGGGACTACAGGCACCTGCCACCACACCTGGCTAATTTTTTGTATTTTTAGTAGAGATGGGGTTTCACCATGTTAGCCAGGATGGTCTCAATCTCCTGACCTCGTGATCTGCCTGCCTCAGCCTTCCAAAGTGCTGGGATTACAGGCATGAGCCACTGTGCCCGGCCAATAATTTTTTTTACAAAATTAATTTTTCATAAATCTTCCACAATTTGCTCAAACCTTCAGCTTTATCCTATCTAATTTAAAACAATCCTTTAACCCTCTAAACTAGATAAAAATTTACATTCCTGCTCCATCTTATAATCTTTTGCTAAAAGCATATTTCACTTTCCTCACACACCTTGCACGTAAAATGGTTTTTTCCGTGGTCTCAGTTACATGTTACAATGTTAACTCTTAGCAATTTTTATTTTTGGTGAAAAACCCTGGTAAGTAGGTGATTTTAATTATGTACCAGGTGTGGAGCCTAGGACACTAAACAGAAGTATAGATAAAGTCTGACTCTTTTTAGCATAGCCAGGGGGCTTGGCTAACTTTGCATGTCCTCAGACCTTACTTCGAATCTAAAGCAGGCTCCAAGGCAGGTAAGTTGAAAAATTTTCAAAAGTCAAAGAAGCAGTTTATTACCTTAAAGTATTTAGCAAATCTAGGCCGGGTGCAGTGGCTCACGCCTGTAATCCCAACACTTTGGGAAGCCAAGGCGGGTGAATTGCTTAAGGTCAGGAGTTTGAGACCAGCCTGGCCAACATGGTGAAACCCCATCTCTACTAAAAATACAAAAATTAGCTGGGCGTAGTGGTGGGCGCCTGTAATCCCAGCTACTCAGGAGGCTGAAGCAGGAGAATTGCTTGAACCCGGGAGGTAGAGGTCGCAGTGAGCCGAGATCATGCCACTGCACCCCAACCTAGGGGGTTATTTAGCAAATCTAATATGTGACCTGCCTAATTTAGACCAAATGTCTTTACTTATTTCCCAAAGCTTACTAAAGTCACATGAACTAAAAGGCATTACAGTTTTAATTTTTCTTCCAAAATTTTTCTATTTAAGAGCTCTTCTTTTTAAGCCAATTAATCAGACCTCTTTTATATACAAACGTCACACACAGAACACATAAATACATAGAAACACAGAAGATCCAGTAGTTGTAAGATGTTTCATTTGCCAGTTTTTAAATTTCTTAACTGGATTACTGGATTCAGGGTGGAGTCCTTGGAGGAACAGGACTAAGAAAACATGCAATTTCTAGGTCCTAATAAGTAAGCACAGCTGGAAGGCAAAACAGATATCCAAAAAAACAGGATCCCAATTTTATGTTGGATCCTGGATCCTCAAAAGAGAAATGCTATGGAACAAGACAGTGCAATGATTTGACCGTGCATTTCAATGCAAAGCCACCCAAAGCTAATCAGCCCATTCTGTGATTAGCCCACCCCAATGGGAGTCTTATCTCTTGGTGGGGGATGGGGACATTTCCATACTTTCCAGATGGCCAAGAGCATGCTTCTCTGATCCAATGTGCAAAGAGCTGAGTATCTCCCCAACTGCCATTTGCCATCCCTAAAAGTATATTTAGCCTTAGATTTTGAGAGAGATCTATCTGCTTCTAATTCCTGGGGTTTCATTAGGAAAACAGAGGTTTTTCCCAAAATGGGGTCTGTGGCACCTCCTCTGTTTTTCCCAAGGAGTCCCAGGCTGTTAGAAGTTATCTTAGGTCCTCTCATGTATGCATCAAGAGTGGCAAGAAGAAAAAAATGGAGAAAAACAGTTCAGTTGCCTGAAAAGAAAAAAAAAAGATCCAAATAGAGGAAAAAAAACCATAAAGGCCTTTTAAATATACCTGTAGCTTGAATATCCACTTTTAACCAAGTGTTTTGTTTTGTTTTTTGGGGGACAGAGTCTCACTCTGTCACCCAGGCTGGACTGCAGTGGTGTGATCTTGGCTCACCTCAACCTCTGCTTCCCAAGTTCAAGCGATTCTCTTGCCTCAGCCTACTGAGTTGCTGGGATTACAGGCACACAGCACCATGCCTGGATAATTTTTTTGTATTTTTAGTAGAGATGGGGTTTTGCCATTTTGGCCAGGCTGCTCTCGAACTCCAGACCTCAAGTGATCTGTCCTCCTCAGTCTCCCAAAATGCTGGGATTACAGGCGTAGGCCACCGCACCTGGCCTACACTGACTTTTAACCAAATATTTTTTTAACCGGATTCTAGCCAGAACAAATAGCAAATATTTCTGGCTTTTGAACTTTACCAAAGGTAACCTCCCAGGTGCTCAGAGAAAGAAGAATTCAAGATGGGAAGTCAAAAGGAGAGGGAGAGAATCAATAAATAGCAATAGCCACTTAGATATCAAACCAGAAAGGACTCATCCCCTAAGCCAGGAATTGAATCCTGGCTGCCACTGAGAAGAGACAAAGCCTTCGCCACGAAGCTACAGCATTGGGCAGTTTCTGTTGTTTCTTCCCAGAAGGAGCCTAGAGCAGTCATTTTTTGAGATGCAATGGCTTTTAAATGTTCACAATAATTTTTGGAACTAACTGTCACATGAACCCCCAAATTCCTGTTTCCTGGATGGCAGAGGCCAAGAGAAAGTACTACCCTGTGGTTACAAGGTCAAGCTCTCAAGGGCATGAAACAAGACAAGAGGGAAACGCTTATCCAGTTTGTTGTTGTTGTTGTTGTTGTTGATGATGTTTGTTTCAGGGACCTGCAGCAAAGTTTATAACGACCAGTTTGCTGGGTTGGCTTGAGCAGCAAGCTTATGGGGGCCTAGGCCTGCATTCCATCTTATGGTACCCCTTTTTATGACTGAATGATGCAGAAAGACAAATTCATAGCACAAAGTACACCAGATTCGCTACAGCTTAAGACCAGCCTCACAAATCCTTTTCTCATTAATTAAAACTTTACAAGAGATAGTAATTTTTTACCATTCCTACAACCAGTTTGCACGGAGAGAGAGGAAAGGAAAGGAAAGGGAGAAAAACATTGCTTGCAGCAGGGTAAAGAAGGCAAGCCACTCAGGGAGGCCAGAGTAAGACCCACCCATTGTAGCAACGCTGAATCAAAAGTTCAGATGGCCACGTGTCAGTTGCAAAGGGATATTTTCCAGCAATCCCATCAGCCCTCAAGTTTCCCCCTTTGGGGAAGGTTCCCCAGGTCCCGTGATCCTGTACATGCCTAATCCTGTCACCCATTGTCATCAGCAAAAAGTACAAGACAGATTAATCCAAAGAGAATAGCAGTTAACAGCCCATTGTGCCAAATCCATTTTTAACCAAGAGGGACTTTACTGAGGGGAGGGCCTCTAACCCAATTCTCTAACCCAATACAGGTAAAATGTACTCCACTACTTACCCAAAGTCAGCCAATTGGTGCTGCAGTTACTTCCTTTGGATTAGAATAGTAACTAAGCCAAAAGGTTAGCAGATTTAATTTTTTTAATCAATTAGTCACTTAAGCTTTTTATTTGCCTTTCATAAAGTCTTCATATAAAAATACTGAAATCTTTTTACAAGCTTCTGCATATCAGTACAGATGAGACTAATTTGGAAGCCCTCATTTTCTAACACACTTCAGTGCAGTGTTGTTCATTTGGAACGTTCCACTGTAAGTTATCTTTAGTAAGATTTTGCCATTTCTTTAAGACTTCGCTGCTTATAAGGCCTAACACTTGTGCGTGTATAAGCCAGAAGGAACTCAATTCTTCAGAAATTAAGGATCTCATTTTTACCTCAAATATTGGCTTTGCTTTCAGGTTCCCTTGATCAACTTAGTCAGTGATTGATTTTTTTTCCTACCTAAGTGCACAAGAAAAATGAACCAAAGGGGTAGAACACAAAAATTCCTGTGAATTTCCAAAAGCCAAATTTTACACCCCCTGCAATATTGCCATTTACTACTGGTTTCCTTCTGACCCAGTCAGATGTAAGAAGCCTCTAGCTGGATCCAAACCAGCTAATTACTGGACTCAGTCCAGTTTCTCATCACAACTTCCAAATCCAGTTTGGATCAGAAACTTGCTCAAAGAAACTCGGAGAGCTAAAAACACAAATCCGTGGAGCTTTGGAATCTGAGAGAGAACTTACCACAATCCCCAGCTGCTCCAAGAGATCAATGGACACAATCAGTCCAGAGAGTTCCTCACTTGGTCACTCAGTGCTCCTAGGGGATGTTAGAAGCTCTACTTCGGATCCCACTTCTGACACCATCTGATAAAAGAAAAACTTCAGCTGAATTAAATTTAAAATAGTTTAACTGAGCAATGAACGATTCCTGAATTGGGCAGCCTCCTGAGCCAGAATAGGCTCAGAGACTCCAGCAGAGCCACATGGGGGAAGAAGATTTATGGAGAGAAAAGGAAAGTGACATACAGAAAAAAGAAGTGAGGTACAGAAACAGCTGGATTGGTTACAATTCGGTGTTTGCCTTATTTAAATACGGTTCAAACAATTGGCTACATTTGATTGGCCAAACCTTGATGATTGGCACAAATGTAGGCTATGGTCTATTTCTACTTCCACTTGTTATAGTTCACGTGTACAGAGATACCCTTAGGCTGAACTTAATATATGTAAGGAGGCAGCTTTGGGCTAAACTTGATTTAACTCATCTTAAACTGCAAACAACCTAGTAAGATTCCCCATTAGAACTTTCTGTTATCCACCAGCTCTGGGCTGCCCTAGAACATGTCACTTAATCCATTTTCCTCCCATGCTCCTAATTTTCCACATCCCCCCACCCCTTAATCCTTTCCTGTGAGAACAATATGGCTCTGTCTCAAATCTTTCAATTTTGCGTAACTGCACATTACTTATACTATCTTTAAGAAGGATGATTCACTTTGCAGTCAGGAAACAAATGATGCTCCAATTGCTGGGCTCTACCTTCCTTATGGGCTGCAGGGGATCAAAAATATTCAATGACTCTGCAGTCTAACCTAGCAGTTGAAGGGTTTGGTTCTGGTGTCAAGATTCCATTCTGTGACCTCATGTAAATTACTTGGCCCCTCTAAGCCTCAGCTTCTTAATTTGTAAAATGAAATGTGGACCCTGAGTAATAAAGACTGCATCTTGGGTAATAAAAATAATGCCTACCTTATGCATTTGGGGAGGGTCGTGTCAGATATTATACGACAAGGACTTCTCTAATCCCAGTGCCTAGCACAAGGTATTATAATAATAATTATTAAATCCCTCCCAATCTTAATAATTCTAAGTATTTGACAGTTTACTAATTGAACTCCAAATACTCATTTAATAAGCATCCATTTAATGACTACTATTTAATATGCACATAGCACTAAAAAATAAATAAGGAGGAAGGAAGTAAGGAAAAATAAACATCTACTGAGAGCTATCTATGTGCCAGGCACTTTACATAAATCATCTTGTTTACTCCTTCAAATAACTTGAGAAAGCTTTGTGTCCTCACTTCTATGGATGGCACAGAGCTATGAGAGGTTATATAACTTGCCTGTAAGGCACAAATCTGAGTTGGTACCCAGGTCTGTTTCACTCAGGGGCCCTTTCTCCTCCACAAATTGCTGTGCCTCACAAGTAGAGTGTATGTCTCAAACTGACCAAACCTTAAATTCAAAAGGAAAAGGGAAGAAAAGAGAGGTCAGATGAATGGAAAGTGGAGGAGAAAGAGGGAAGGATAGGAAGGAGGATGACCGGAAGGAGAATCGGATGTTGAGGAAGAGATAATGGAACAACAGGGAGATGCCAAGCAGCTCCTCCACTTCCATCCCTTGCAGTGGTTGGTGGAGAGCCAGCCCCTTTAGCTCATCCTTATCACCTTAGGTGACGTGTCCCTGCCAAACAAACTAGTGCCAAAAGGAAATGCATCATGTCTGTGACTTCCCACAAACTCGAGCTAACCAGAGCTGATCTCACCCTCTCCTTTTGGAAGCTCCAACAAAAGCACTATAGCCTTCTAGGTAGATTCTAACTCCCTGTCTTATTTACAGTTTAATTTTGTACTGGTAATTGTCTCATGTGGGCTCATCTTATTCTCATACCCAAGCTATAAAATATTCAATGCATGCATTTTGGTTTACTCTTCTGTAAGAAGATGGTCACAGATGAAAGCACACTACAAAATTTTATAAGACTTTTCTGAGAAGAAACTGAAAAACTCTGCCCAGAACTTGGGGTAGCTACTCACAGATTACTTGTTGGGGTAGAGAGAGTTACTTAAGAGCGAATAGCATAAACTCTGGAAATATACTGCCAGATATTATGAGGTTATCCTAATAACTTCATATATCCAATATCCAATGGTCCCATGATGATGGGGGTGTCTGCTGAAGGGAATGAGCCCTTGTCATTGGGAAGAGGTCAGTTTGAGAGTAGGGAACAGAGACTCTGGAAGGAGCTTATCTGGTAGTGGTAGGAGGAATATTTTCTTTGCTCTAGATCTGGCCAATGCTTGGCAGTCTCAGGGTCATGCAATTGCCGGAAGCATTTCTGTTGGTGGAGGGTGGCTTTCCTTGTCCCTGGGCGATTACCTGTAAGAGAACCTGGGACCGTGCCAAGGAAAGGGTCTCGGGTTGGGTCCTGACTCGGCAGTGCGTCTGAATCATGCTCTGTGCCACGTGTCCTTTCATCATCAGTACAGTCTGTCCTGCATTGGATCAGGGAGGGGTCCACATCCACATCTTTGTCAGGACCATGCAGGGAAATGCTGGACCCCTTCCCTGGAGGTCAGGTGATGGTGCCAACAGAGGACAACAGGGCTCAGCAGCAGCCAGAGTACTGCCTAGGGGTGTTACCTTGTAATATGAAAAGAAGCAATATCTCCCTCTTGGTTGTCACGAGATTTAGAGGAAAGATGTGCAAAGTGACTGGAATTCATATCCTCATTCAACGTTTATTCATCTCATTACATGGTGTAGTTACTTCACGCCAAGCTCCAGGCAATAGGAATACAGCAATGAGGGAGCTGGGTCAAGTCACTGCTCTCTTAGTTTATATCCTCTTGAGAAGTGGGGACAGACAGTAAGAAGATAAACACACTGTCAGGGACTGAGATGGGGATTTGGGTGCATGTGATTTATTGAGGATGTTCTCCTCAGGAAAACCTGTAAAGGATGAAGAAATCAGGATGGGGAAGGGGAAGAAGCCAAGCAGAGGGGTGCTGTGGAAAAATCTAACCTGGGCCTGATCCCTGGGGGCCCTGAAGTGCAAATCACACCTTCAGAGTTGTCCTTGAAAGCAACAGTGGGGAGCTTTTGTACCCGTCTCTGTCAGTCATTGGCCACCCCAGGGTGTTGTAGTAGCCTCTCAGGTAAAGAGGCTCCTTAGGCAAGAGCGTTTCTTAGAAGAAGGCCATGGGTGTAAGGTGTTAGCTGCTGCGTGCCCAGGAGTGGGGCACACGGGCTGGTTATGGGTCATGCGCAGAGTCTCAACAACATCAGCTACATCTCTTCATAAGGGGAAAAGTCAGGCAGTGGGAACTTCTAGGAGAGAATGGAAATTCAGCGACAGCAGAGGGACTGTACCGTTGCTTTAGACTGCGTGGCCATGAAATGGGCAGATTCAGATTTTATAGATTTTGAGACTTACAATTTGGAGGTGCCTTTTTAAAGTAAAAGACTGTGAAATCATGAATACAAAGCTAGCACAAACATGAAAATTTATTCAAAATGAGAAGACAAAGAATTACAAATAAAAGCTAAGAAATAAGCATCACAAAATCCAGAAAAAATAATTAATATTTAATTAAAGTTAATAAAACTTTCTGACATACCTCTACAATACCTTTTCCTACATTATTTGGCCATATATATTTTGATTACCTCCTTATATGATAATGGCTTGGTATTTGCTTTTTATTAAGAGACTAGAAAGACATTTTGGTCTTTCCCTTAAAGTGGTAAACCATTTGTTGTTAATACTTCTCAAAAGTTTTTCAGCTTCACAACTTGTTATTTGGTAAAATTATGTGAATTTTGAGGATGATTATCAAGATTGGGAAACCCTCAATTAAGCTTCTTTCATATATGAGCTATAAGCTTTGAAAAGATGCCCCACAGATAGCTTCTGACTCCACACATTTCAAACTCACTTTTGCCAGGCACAGTGGCTCACACTTGTAATCCCAGTTATTAGGGAGGCTGAGGTGGGAGGATCCTTTGAGCCCAGGAGTTTGAGACCATCCTGGACAACATAGTGAGATCCTGTCTCTTCAAGCAAATTGGTCGGGGGTGGTGGCTCACGCCTGTAATCCCAGCACTTTGGGAGGCCGAGGCGGGTGTATCATCTGAGTTCAGGAGTTTGAGACCAGCCTGGCCGACATGGTGAAATCCCATCGCTACTAAAAATAGAAAAAAAATTAGCTGGGCGCGGTGGTGGGTGCCTGTAATCCCAGCTACTCAGAAGGCTGAGGCAGGAGAATCACTTGGACCCTGGAGGCAGAGGTTGCAGTGAGCCGAGATCGCGCCATTGCACTCCAGCCTGGGTGACAAGAGCAAAACTCCGTCTCGAAAAAAAAAAAATTTTTTAAAGAAAAAGAAAATAAAAATAAAACAAACTCACTTTCCTCCCATACTATCCTTGTCTTCTGGTGCTGGGTGTTGTAGGACATTTTCATGTTGAGATGTCTTTGTGTGACGATAGCAGGTGGTCGGCAGTGAGTGATGAGTATTCCAGGAAATCATTACTATACAAGAGTACCACACAAGGAAGTGACTGCAAACCACTTACATACTTCCCCTCAATTCAATGAACCCCTAAATCAACTTCCCCTTTGCCAGGTCCTCCAAAGGCCTATAGCCACTCCAATGCCAATGGAAGAGAGGCAAGAGGTAGAGAAAATTGGAATAAAAAGAGAGAGTAGCCTTAAGTTTTAACTGATTGTGGTTAAAATATTTTACTTTTGCAACATTTACAAAAACACACATGCATGTGAATAGATCACTAGAGTCCCTCCCAGAACTTACAAAGGACCCCTGCAAGTGAGGGGCTCTGAAATGTAAGCCTCATTGTTTTCACCATAAATCCACCTCTGTCAGTGAGGGACTGTTTGAGGAGATGACATGTAGCTGAAAGCACTTAGATGACATTCAGTAAGTTATTATTAATTGGAGACTCATGGTAAATCTACTGCAGTCTTTGAAAGCAGAGATCTCTTGCTCCATCTTGAGTCTCAGACTAACTTATACAAGGACAGGAAGACAGCACTTCCCCAGGAAGGCCTCTTTAAAAATAGAAGCTGCCAGTGTCAGAGACCATCCCAAAATTACCGCACTTTGGCCATCCATGCATACAGGGAATGCACAGTAACAGTCTGAGTGTCTCTGCAGCATTGGTTGGAATCTATAAAGATCTGAAATCAATGCCTTGTTTGACTGTGATTTGCATCCTCTTTTTCTTTGCTGGCTCTGGGTCTCTGGGGGAAGGAGTCCCTTGTGCCTGCCAGGTGCTCTTGATTAGAGTTTGGGGCTCCCAGCATTGTGATTATTTGTTTACCTGCCTATCTCCTTTGCAAAAGTGAGCTGTGCCAAGCAAGGGCCCTATCTTATTTATGCTTGCATCCCCAGGGCCTAGCACACAGCCTAGCACACAGAGGGCACTCCATTCATGTTTCCAGATGAATACATAATTGCCTATCCAGCAATGTATGAAAGAAAAAAAATATCATTCCACCCATTTCTTGATTTCATCTCAAATTCTCCAAAACAGGTAAGTTAATACTTTGTACAATTTGGTCAGTAATGCAATGTTTGACCCTGAATCACTTAAAAATATTTCTGTTTTTCAAATCATTTGCAGAAGGCATGAGCGAGTTTACATAAATAATTTTCACTCTTTGATAGAAAGCATTCACAAAATCAAGGAGAAATAACATACAATATGCAGTTTTCACTCTGGGTGCTCTGCACTGGAAAATGCAACAGATTCTCTTTCTTATTTTTGAGAAGGACAAGAGAGCTGCTTGTCTAGAATCACTGTTCCCTTTGTCAATAAATAAAAGGCCCTTGTATTTGCAAGGATTTCACATGATGTTACCAAAAAAAAAGAAAGAAAAGGCGTGTAAAGTTTTCCATAGCAAGTGTGCTCACCAAATTTGGCTGTACCGCTTAATTACAGAGGACCCAGAGGGAAAACCCAGAGTTCTGTGCGGTGCTATTAGAAAGGCTTCAGGGTGTCTGGGTGTCTTTTCCTTGGGGTCTCCTCTTTCCTCTCTTTCACAAATTAAAAAAAAAAGTTAATTAAAGCTGAACAGTTGAAGCTGATTTCCAAGGGACTGACAACATCTGACACCAAGCTGAATTAATAGCAGAGAAAATATTTTTTTCCTGTATTGAAACTACCAACAGTGTTTAGCAAAAGTGATTTAAATCCTTTATAAAGTTTCTAGAGTTCTTAAATAAACACTGTACTAAGATAAAGGCCTAGTTAATTCCAAATGTTTCAAAGAGGTTAAACAATATAAATACTTTCTTAAAAGTTAAAATCGAGATGAATCTCGAAACTAGTAAATGAAGATTAACTCTGGATATTTAGAAAAGATCTTTATCTATCAAATATCTATGTTTGTAAGACAAGAAGAGCCTTGGTTTCATTAAGGAAGGAATAGCAGGGGCTGGCAAATGGAATTTTATTAAGTAAAGGTCAATCCACATAGCATCAGATGATAGCCCTGTCACCAACTGCCCTACTTCTATGGATAATTTTTAATGATATTAAAAGTTTTTGTCTAACTCCACTTAGCTATTTCTGCCCACTGTTGTACTATGTATGTGAAAACCCTGGCATCAGCCTCATTTAGCTCTGCTAAAAGAAGTTAGTTCTTATTAATCATTAATAGCTTATTGAATTGACATTTGCACTAGCAAGAATGTGAAAGAAAGAACACAGAGTAAGTATGTGGGCTACAGGGGTCAGGAAGGTTGAACACATAAAATGGTTTCCTAAGAGTGGTAAAGGCAGCTGTCCCTGGGAGAGATATCCTCTCCCTGGGTGGAACTTGTAGAATGAGGTGGTTCTGGATGACACCCTGGACTGTGGTCATCTCACCCCAGTCATGCCATCTTGAAGGCTTTTCAGGTGATGCCGGATCACCTTCTCCAGGGTGTGTTCTCTTCTCTCTCAATGTGGCCTTGCAGTCGTGGTCAAACCCATGGGCTCTGCAACCAGACTGAGGTCCATTGCTCAATTACAATTTCAGCTGTGCCACCTAGGAGGGGGTACTTTTTTGTTTATACATGTCTGCCCCATTAAAATGTAACTTTCATGAGGGCAGCAACTTTCATTCACAGCCATAGAAGAGGGCTCAGTTCATGGTGGGTGCTCAATACTTAATTTAAATTTATTAAAAGAATAAATGAATAAGTGACTGAGTGGATGAAGTGTTTAACCTCTCTGGGCCTAGTTTTCTCATCTGTAAAACGAGGGTAATAACAGCACTCAGTATGACATCTACACAGGTAGCAACCAGTGTCAGAATGCAGCAACAGGGTTTACCTAGCCAAGGGGTCCTTTATATTCTTCCTGTTTAGGGAGAATGTGGTTTCAGGATGTGCAGCTGCTGGCAGAAGGGTGAAAGCTAAAGCAACCGCAGGTGGGTCCTGTTATGCGTTGTTTAATCATGCTCACTTGGAAACTCACTCTGCTTTTTCAAGGAGATTTGGTCATACAGATGACCTTAGGTCATGCTGTTATTTTTGTTTTCACAGGACAGCCATTTATATTTAATGAAATAAAAGAAACTCAAATAATGTATAATTGAAGAAGGAAGAAGGATAGGAGCAAGACTTTCCAGTTATATCTCATGGCTCTCATTCTCATTTCACCTACACGACTTGGGTAGGAAAGTATTTTTAGAATTCAGTATGCTCAGTTGCAAAATAAGTGTATAAACATTGGTATCTTTCCTACATATGGCTCTGTTCGGTTGGAAAAAAAAATGAATATCGTTTTGCAATAGCAAAACTAAATATTAAATACCCATGAATAAACTTAACAACAAATACAAAGGCCTATGTAAAGAATCCTTTACAATTTTACTCAGAGACAAAAAAGGAAACAATCAAATGAAGTGAGATACTTTATTTCTGGATGAAAAGATTCATTGTTATAAAGGCATCAATTTCCAAGTCAATTTATAAATTTAATGTGAAAATTTCCACAGCGTATTTCTTGGATCTATTCAAAATAATTTTAAACATTATCTGAAAGACTAAACTTATAAAAATAACCCATATCATTTAGAAAAATCAGAAGAATATGGTTAATTATTTAATGAAACACACCATAAAGCTATAGTATTTAAGGTATAA